>NC_000022.11:32648957-32800473 GCF_000001405.40 Homo sapiens
TGTGAAGGAGTGTATGAAATTAGGAAACAAGTATCTCCTGACCACCTATTACAGTTGATTGTATCATCGTTCCTAATTCTTCACCCCTCTCTGTATCAATACCTGTTGTCAGGTGACTTGATAGTTTCTTCCACTAGAGGCGGAGTATACTTCCCCTATCCCTAATTCTGGGCTTGGTCATGTCGCTTATTTTGGCCAATGGGCTGGTAGCAAACGTGACACAAACAGTGGCTTAAAATGTGCTTGTGAATTTGGGTATGACCCTCTTGTACTGCTGCAGTTAGCCATGTCCTGGCTAGCTTGCTGGTCCACTCAGCGCCAGGCCTAGAGCAGCCAATTCCCATCTGACCTGTGAGAGCAAGAATAATTATTTTTTAAGCCGCCGAGCTTTGGGATGGTTTATTATGTTTCAAAATTGTGACAATAGATGTTAATGACCCCTAGTATGTACCGAGTACAGGCATTTTCGTATAGTCTATTTAATTTCATCTTCAAACATCCCCATTTACTAATGAGGAAATTGAGACTTTGAGAAAGCCCTCCTGGTCCAAGATCACACAGAAAGGAAACAGCTGAGCTTGGAGGCAACCCTGTTCCAACTCCCAGAACATGCTCTTCTTACTACACCACGGAAGAATGGGGTGGTGGGAGGCGGAACACAACAAAACTAGCTTCGCGGCTGGGCCCAAGGCTGGTCCCATCTAGAGTCATCTTTGAGACCACAAGAGCCAACATCATAAATCTAGAATTGTGACAACACAGGATGACTCAGGCAGGGGGTGGCCGGACAGGGAAGCCCTGGTGAGGGGCTGGTTGGTTATAAAACCTCAGTCTAAATAGGGACAGGGCGGTAACATTAGTAGACAGGGCTGGGCCACAGAATCGGGTGGTTTAGGACAAATAATGACTTGAAATTTATTTTGGAAAATATTTTCCCAAGTGTCTCACTGGGCCTTGTGGGAATGAGAAAATCAGTGGGGAAAAAGCCAGGAGAAAAAGCTGATGAGGCTGAGAAGGGGCTCATGACTAGTAGGCTTTGATTTCATAAAATTCAGAGCATTAGATGTTCCTGGAGGTGAACTCTTACTCATGCTATAGAACTCTTCCCCCAATTCCCCCGCTCTGTGAGTTATCCCATCATAAGACAGACGCAATCTCAAATTTCTCTATTCATTCTCCAACAGTTATGACAACGGCCAGCATTCATTGAGCATGTACTAATTGCCAGACACTATTCTAAGCTCTTTACACTTTTCTTTCTCTCTCTCTCTCTCTCCCTCCCTCCCTCCCTCCCTCCCTCCCTCTCTCTCTCTCTCTCTTTCTTTTTGAGACAGAGTCTCACTCTATCACCCAGGCTGGAGTGCAGTGGAGCGATCACAGTTCACTGCAACCTCTGCCTCCCAGACTCAAGCAATCCTTCCACCTCAGCCTCCCGAGTAGCTGGTACCACAGGTGTGTACCTCCATGCCTGGCTAATTTTTGCATTTTTGTGGAGACGGAGTTTCACCATGTTGCCCCGGCTGGTCTCAAACTCCTGGGCTCAAGCGATCCCCTCATTTCAGCCTCCCAAAGTGCTGGGATGGCAGGCCACTCTACCTGGCTGCACTTTACACTTTTATTGGTCCTTTCAATCTTCACAATAATGCTAAGCAGAATATGCTCCTACTCTTTCCCATTACACAAATGAAGGAGAAAAACAGAGGCCCAGAGATATGAACTACAAAGCCCAGGCTCACACAGCTGGTCAGAGGCAGGGTTGGAACTCTAATTTGAGAGAGTATGCTCTGACTCACTATGCCGCGTGTTTACTGTACAGCGCTGTGACAATCTGAGTCTCTTATTAAATGAGATAATGCATGCCAAGCACTTAGCTTCTTGCCCAGCATTAGAGACGGCCAAAAATATTACAATACCAAGTATTCTTATGCTGATATGAATTTTATTTTATTACCTTATAACAGCTGCTTCCCCAGTCCTCCTTAGAGAGGAAAGTCTTTGTGGGGAACATACTTAGCGACTGGAATAGAAGGTCAGTCACTTGAGGGTCTGGGGTCAGCTGCAGCCAAGTCCTCATGGGTGGGAGGGACTGGGGAGAAGAAATTGGAGATCTTGGCCAACTGTGAGGGGTCTGAGGAGTAGAGATGGAAGAGCACAGAAGGCCAAGAAGACAGACAAGGGCTCTGTATTGTGAGATAAGACTCCCTTCTTGGGACCTCACTAAGGAGGTCAGTGAGTCTACTAAACACACTGCTCTTGGTAGGAGACATTTTCGCTTGTGGCGGGAGAAAGAGAAGCCACTGAACTTGATGCCAGCATTGATGTGTGTGGGGTGATGGCCATGGGGGAGTCAGTGCCCCAGAGGAAGTTCAGAAGAAGATGAGCCCACCAGTGATTAGCAAGAATCTGAGAAAGGCCAGGGAATTTTCCTTGAGTTAGGAGGTCTCCAGCTGGCCTCTGGGTAGGGTTGTTATTTTCGATGGTGTGGCTAACATTCTTGCCCCTCTCCATGATATGCATGTTTCTGGAGCACACAGGTGGGGCATGATCGCTCCTCTGGCTCCCCCAGGGCCAGCTCAGTGAGAAGTCAGGAAGCCTTGGATGCATGCTTGAATGAATGAATGAATGAATGAAAAGGCTTTAAACTGAGGATGGCCCATGCTTGCTCAGATATACATCAACTCAGCCACGCGTGATACCCCATCATCAGAGGATGCTTTAGACATCTCAGTTCGCCATGTTCCTAACCTACACCCTGCTTCCCAAACTGCTACTGATGCTGCAACCAACTCCATCTCTGGGTTGATCCCTCAGATTTACATTAGGGGATGGTGACATATGGGCCTCGTGGCTGCCCTTTCCTCCTCCTCACTTGGGCTGACATTAGAGCAGTGTGGTTCCACCATGAGCCAATGTGTGGAGACATTCTTGGTTTTCACAATGAGGGGAATTGCTACTGGCATCTAGCGGGTAGAAGCCAGGGATGCATCTAATCCTAGAATGCACAGGCTAGCCTCCTGCAACAAAGAATTAGCCTATCCAAAACGTTAATAGTGCCAGAGTTGAGAGGCTCTGCATTAGAGTGTCATGGTTCAGAGCACACTCACTGGAATTTAAGAGGACTGGTTTGATTCCAGACTCTGCCACTTAGGTTGAGACAGAGATGATAATTGTATTTACCCGTAGGGTCATCAAAATAATTAAATTGGGTCTATCAACAACCAACTTCTGCCATCTCCTCCCCGCTAGTCCCCACCAAAATGCACACACTCAATTTAGAACAGCCGGCCAGATTTCACCATGGCCCAGGAACAGAACTCGTATGGGTTCTCAGGCCCAGCAGGTTCTTTGTTCCACGAGCCATGACATGCTTCAGTCCTTCCACGCTAAGGGCATCTTTCCCACACCTAAGTCTGCGATGCAAGTTTTTTTTTTTTTGGAAAAAAAAAAGTTTTCTTTTTTGGAAGAAAACAAAGAAACAAAGTTTCTTTGTTGGAAATGGCTAATTGTTTTGCTTTCATCGTCTCAACTGGGGAGTTGGGTTTGAGGTAACAAAGTTGTGAATGCAAATGGTTATATGCAACTAGGCAAATCAGATTTATATAAAAATCTAATTTTACTAAAGGGAACACTTTCTGGTAGGGGGTGGGGGACCAGCAGCTCAATTCTATGAAGCAGAAGGTCAGTTCCTCGGAATTTATGCTATAAAAACTTAATGCACATCCACAGAATGTCAGAGGAAGTGATGTCAGAGACCATTTTGTCAAACCCCCTTTGAGAAATTGACGCCCAAAGGGAGGGGAAACTTCCTCAGGGTCACTCCCTAGTTAGCGGCAGAGAGGAGATCAGAACCGAGAGGTCCTGACGCCCTGTCCAGGCTGGCTCCACCCCACAGAATTGCCTCTCCCTAAGGGAAATCCCTATGAGCTTAGGTGTCGAGGAAAAGATGACTTCTCCCTACGTTTTCAGTTCAAACCTCACAGTCAATAAGAATTTAATGTTCAGAATCATCTCTTGCAATGGGGCTTTCATTGCACGTGTTTTTTTCTTCTCTTGGCCTAGAGGCAATATTAAAGTAATTCCCTCTGTGGGTGCTTTGCTCCATATGTAAACACATGTCTACCATCTATACACAGGCACATGCATTTGTCATTTCTTCCCAGAATGACTTAATGATTTCCATGTAACGAATATGTTGCAGCTGTTGGTTTTCTTGAGGCTGAAGCACTCAGAAAATCATCAGTTATCAAATTGCTTTCCCATCACTGTTTTTCCCAAACTGGACAAATTTTCTCCCCCTTTCCTTAAAAGAAAAAAAAAAAAAGGTATGATGGGCCAAGATGATGCCCCTTAGGCTTTAGAATTTTTTATCAATGGCAAAATCACGGCTAAAATATCCCTATCAGTTATTTTCTGAAGTTGATGTCTGCCTTACCTTTAAAAACAAAGGCTTGTGCTGCCAATGAAAAATGAAACAAACAAAAAAGGTTTACAAGAAAAGCATGAAAAGGAGGTTAGAAAACAAGGTAAGAAAAAAATGCTAGGGCTTCATTTCCAGCCAAACCCAGAGTCCTTTATGGGAGGGGCTGCAGGGACCAGGCTCATGGTGTATTTTTGGGGAAGCTTCTTTGGAGGAGAATTTTAGTTTGCTCACACATGGCAGCCAGCTTCCAGTCAGAAGATGCAGGAGGTGAAAAGTTGGGGGTCAGGAGGTAGGAAGTGGCTCTGGGGAAGACAGTGTGTTGAGTTAACGGGATCAGGAAGACTCGGGTCCAAATTCTCATAGCCATTTAGTAGCTTTGTAACTTTGAGAAAATGGTTCAACTTCTCTGAATCTCAATTTTTAAACTCCACATACAGAGCCTTTTCTCATTGGGTACTGAGGATTAGAATGAATGCCCAATAAAGGTATCTCCTCTCTCTCCCTGCTTCCTTTCCAGCCTTTTGAAGTCTGAACTCTGGCTGACAGAACGTAAGAGGTAGGTGTGTTCTGTGAACACGTGCCACTGCACCATTAGTTCCTGCCTGGCCTTGACCCCAACACGTTCTCTGCTTACCTGGACCAGGGACAGAAGAAGATCTTCCTGCTATAATGCCAGGGCCCAGTACCCACACTGGGGGCCTGTGGTGCCCAAGGTGTCTCCAGCCAGGCCTATGCCTGAGAGTTAAGAGAGGACACAGCAACAAGGTAAGTCGGCCCAGAGCAGCCTGGACCTGCCAGGTTGCCTAAAGCCCTTTTTGTCTGTTTCATTTCCTCCATCCCACCCTGACACCCACTCCCCTCCCTCCACTTTCTCAGTTCCTTGGTCCTGGCAGTTTTTCTTGTCTGGACTGTACTACTACTCTCAACTCCAGCCTGCTCACTCTGCCACATGTGTCTTCTCAAAGCCTGGCTCCAGTCATACCTGATTGTAAAACATAAATCTGTCAATGGCGACCTCCTCAAGTGATCCCCCAAATCAAGTTCCTTGGCTCTGCCTCCAAAGCCTCCTGTGGTCTGGCCCCAGCCTTATCTTCTGCTGGTCCTTTTCCTGTCCCCTACATGCCACCCAGACGGGACAGCTTGTCCCCTGCCTACGTGGCTCAGAGCCTTTGCCCTGGCTGGGTCACTCTTGGAGGTACTTCTGTCTCTCTCCACACCGAGATCTCATTCATGTCCATATCCAGCTCAGAGACCCTCACAGAAGTGTGAACCCTACTGTGAACTGCACATGCAAGGGAACTAGGTTGAACGCTCCTTATGAGAATGTAATGTCTGATGATCTGTCATTGTCTCCCATGCATGCTTCCCAGCATGCCTGCCTAGCCCCATTCCACGTGTTCGGCAGCCATTTGCTGCTGCTACTCTGGGCTGGGGCCAGGCTCCACCCCTTGATATTCTAGGTGCTTGTCCCTTTCTCTCCTGACATTTACCATGTTCTATGTCCTTTTGTAGTTACTTGTGTATATGTCACATTTCTTCTACTGTTGTCAGCTCTTCTAGAGCAGGAAAGGAAGCCTCATGCATTTTCCCCTAAGCTACAGGGCAAGCATAGAATAATGGAAGAAATTAAGACTTGAAATCACATGACCTGGGCTCAAAGCTGCTATGGTTTGAATGGATGTGTCCCTCCAAATTTATATGTTGTAGCTTAAACCCCAAGGTGATGGTATGAAGAGATGGGGCCTTTGGGAGGCTTCAGAGAGCTGCTTGGCTCTTCCATGTCTCATGCTATGTGAAGACACAGTGTTCATTTCTTTTATGCCACTTCTGCTGCATGGTGACAGAGCAAGAAGTACCCTCTTTGAGGCAGAGCGTCCTCACCAGACACTGAACCTGTTAGCACCTTGAACTTGGACTTCCCAGCCTCCAGAACTATGAAATACATTTCTATTCTTTATAAATGACCCAGTCTGAGGTATTTTGTCACAGCAGCAGGAATGGACTAAGACAGGGGTCTCCAACCCCTTGGCCACAGACTGTGGCCTTGGTACCAATCTGTGACCTGTTAGGAATTGGGCCGCACAGCAGGAGGTGAGCAGCAGGTGAGCCAGTGAAGCTTCATCTGTATTTATAGCCCATTTATACCCCATTGCTCGTATTACCGCCCGCACTCTGCCTCCTGTTAGATCAGTAGCGGCATTAGATTCTCATAGGAGCGTGGACCCTATTGTGAACCATGCATGCAAGGGATCTAGGTTGCATGCTTCTTATGAGAATCTAATGTCTGATGATCTGTCATTGTCTCCCATCACCCCCAGATGGGACCGTCTAGCTGCAGGAAAACAAGCTCAGGGCTCCCACTGATTCTACATTAGGGTGAGTTGTATAATTATTTCATTGCATATTGTGATGTAATAATAACAGAAATAAGGTGCACAATAAATGTAATGTGCTTGAGTCATCCTGAAACCATCCCTCCCCATCCCTGGTCAGTGGAAAAATTGTCTTCCACAAAACTAGTCCCTGGTGCCAAAAAGGTTGGGAGTCGCTGGACTAAGACAAAACCCCAGCTTCACCACTTCATGACCATTGGAGAACTAATCTCCCTAAGCCCAGTTACCCACTCTACTTGTAAAACAGGGGTGCAGGATTATTGTGAAAATGAGAGGATATGGTCTCTGGGAATGCCTGCTGTGTGGTAGATGCACAAAAACCAGTAAGTGTCCTTCCTTTAGCAAGGGGTTTTGAACGGCTCATAATACTACCGTCTACTGTTTCACAAGTATATCCTTCCATTCTGCAAATTTCTGCAGGGCAGGCCTCATGTCCCCTTTCAGCACAGTGGTTATGAGTCAAACATGTTGAGCTCCATTTCTCCATTTCTGACTCTCTCACTTACTTGCTGCTTGACCCTAGGCTAAAGAAGCCTCAGTTTGCTCATCCATAAATTGGGAAAAATAACATAATCTACCTTACAGACTGTTGAAAGGATTAAGCGACATGATGTATATCAAGTGCTTGGTTCGTGGTAAATCTCAACAAATATGAGCTGCTGTATCAGGATAGTGCTTTTGAAACATGATGCAGAAAGAGCTCTCCTTTGCATCTCCTTGGATGGAAACTTACCCAGCATGTGCTTGTCTTGGGGAGGTTGAGGTTTGAGGTGTTAGCAAAGCAGAGTGGTAGCGGATCGATAGTCAATGTTTAACATTCAGAGTAGGACTTTTTGAGTCTGTAAAAGGAGTCTTGTCTTAAGCAAAATCAGAATTTCTAAATTATTTTAGCTGCTATTGACTTAGAGGGAGCAGGACATAGTTTTTTGTTGTTGTTGTTTTGTTTTTTTGTTTGTTTTTTCTTTTACTGGATAGAGCAGCTACCTCTTCTATTCAGGCTGAGCAAGAGGCTGAATGCCCGTAGGAGGAAGACGGGATGTAGGGACGTCCATACCAGAGACAACAAAGAAGAAAGCTTTTCACTGCAGGGCATTGTGGGAGGGAGACAGGGAGAGAGGGGAAGAGAAGTGAGAAGCCCCTGTGTCCATGAGGTCTCTGAGCTGAAGCATTAGCTAAGGGCACCTTGTTGGGTGGAGAAGAAAGCTGGCAAGGTGGGTGGGGAGCTTCTGCCCCATTCTGGCTTGGAATTCTGGGAAGAGATCCCCTCCCAGGCATCCCCCTCCCTACCTACTCAGCATCAGTCTCAGCCTGAGAGACTCTGCATTTGCCCTCCTGAGCCACCCTCACTTCTCTTTTCTTTTTTTTCTTTTTGAGACGGAGTCTTGCTCTGTCACCCAGGCTGGAGTGCAGTGGCGCGATCTTGGCTCACTGCGAGCTCCACCTCCCGGGTTCACGCCATTCTCCTGTCTCAGCCTCCTGAGTAGCTGGGACTACAGGCACCTGCCACCTCACCCGGCTGATTTTTTGTATTTTTAGTAGAGACGGGGTTTCACCATGTTAGCCAGGATGGTCTCGATCTACTGACATTGTGATCCACCCTCCTCAGCCTCCCAAAGTGCTGGGATTATAGGCGTGAGCCACCGCGCCCGGCCCGAGCCACCCTCACTTCTTGTCTGACATGGAAGGGAACCAGAGGCTCCCATAAGCCACTGAGAGAGACACAGAAGTTAGCTGAGACTCAGACAGGGGTGCTGGCCAAGGAAGGTTGTTGCCCCAGGGCCAAATGGCCTTCAACCAGGGGCTACTCGCATTCAGGCTGCCCGGGCAGAGCAGAGTGGGGGTGGCATCATTCTGAGAACAAGGCAGGGCTTGGTAAGAAGGGCTGCAGACTGTGCTCTCCGGAGCCTTCCCTATGCTCAAAGGACACAGCAGTCATGAACTGGGCTCCAGTGTCACTCATCAGCTGAATGCTTGGGACAGGATCAGGCCAGCCCCTCCTCAATGCATGCCAGCCAGGCACAACCAAAGTGCAGACCTACAGCCCCCCAGTGGAGAATGGCCAAGGACCATGTCAGAAGACCTTCACCCTCTCTCCCCTTGCCACCCTAAGTCTCTGGCATTGTGCTGGCACCTTCAACAAACACTTCTCTTTCCCCTCCTGTCTTCCTAGGACAGTGTTTGCATCTTACTCATCCTGAATCTCCCTCAGTGCCCTGCAGAGAGTAAGTGCCTCACACAGTGCTTGATGAGTGGATGAAGGTAGCCTTGTTAAAGCCTCTGGGATGGATTTGAGGACGTTAAAGCATGCTGAGGGGGAGGAGAGAGAAAAAAGGAGGGTGGGCCGGGAGTCGGGAGGAGACCTCTCCATTCTTACGGTGAACAGGCCAAGTGAGGCAGAAGGAGAATAAAGGCAGAGCCTAGGGTGAGGGCAGGGGGGCTGCAGACACCCCTAGAGCCCAGGAGAAACCAAAGGAAGGTGGTCGGTGACGAGCAGGTGGGAGATCCCTGGGTAGGCTGTGCTGGCAGCACCCTGTGCTCATAGCTGGTGTTTGACTTCCCCCAACCCCGCTTTCGGGTGGATGGGTGAGAGAAGCAAGTGTGGCCCAGCAGGCTGCAGAGTGAGCTGGTGTCTGTGAGAGGCAGGGGTCCTCCTGGAGACTGGGCCTTGGGTCAGCGAGGGACATGCTGACCCTGCCTTGGCAGGTTAGAAGCTGGACAGCCAACAGCCCTTCCATGATGGCAAAAATACACATCTCTCACGCTCATTGAAGGCTTTGCAATTTACACAGGCTACAGGATGACTGTGGAGTCGCCCATCCCATCCATAAGGCATTTCAGGCAGGTACCATGATCAACAGATGCTATTACACCCCCATTTGATGAGTAAGGATGTTCGTGGTGACAATGGGATTTAGGGTGAACATGGGGTCGGGATGTGTACAAAGATGAGGGTGCACTTAACTTCCCCTACTGCTAAAAAAGGGACGTTGAGCTGGAGCTTGAAGAATGAGCTGTTGTCCATCTGAGGGAGAAGGCAGAGAAAGGACATTTCAGGCACAGTGAACATGTGTGAAAGGATGGGGGCGTGAGGAAGCATGTTATATGTAGCGATAATAACAGGAATGATTGCTAACATACATTGCGAGCATACCACATGACAGGCGCTATTCGGACTTCACATACTGAACTCAAATCCATTCTCACGACAGCCCAGTCTGGTAGATGCTAGCATGAACTCCATTTTATAGATGAGGAAATGAAGGCACAGGGAATTAAGTGATTTCCTTAAGGTCACAATGAGAGCAAGTGGTGAAGCCAGGACTGGAACCTACTTGAGGGACAGGCGTCCTAACAGTGTAACCAAGGTGAGTAAGGGCTAAGCAGGAAGGGATGAAGTATGTAGCTAAAGAGTTGGAGTGGGGTGATGATAAGGGAAGATATTTAGATTTTATCTAAGAAGCAATAGGGAGCCATTGATGGTCTAAGCAGAAGAGTGTTAGAAAGGTCCATGTGGCACAGGAAAGAGGGAAAATTGAGAGAGAGAATGAAGCCACGAAGAGTGTGCTGGGGAGACAGCCAGATCCTTTATTGTTACATGTAAGCCAGATTGCTTCTTCCATCTGGGTAACCATCACCCACTCTGGAGCTCAACTTCAGAACATGGGTTATACTATTTCACAAACTCTTCCTGGGAGACAAGAGCTCCACCTGGACCTGTGACATGACTGGTACCTCCCACATCACATTCTGTGCACCCAGTAACTGCATTTGGCTCTGTTTTCCTTGGATTGCTAGACATTCTTTACCTCTTTATTTAATGCACTAGGTGGTGTTCCTTTTCACCCTAGGAGCACAGGATAGTATTAGAGTCCTTGAAAAGGTGTTTCAGATATTCTTAGTGGGAAGCTCTTCCACTGGGTGTGACCCTGGACAAATGCCTCCTCCATACTTTTTTTGCTGCCTGTCTTGTTTCTCATATATACATGGGCAGGCAACCTGGATTCTGCCAGGCAACCAGGTGGCAAGTTGGCCCGCCCACCAGTCCCAGTTCTAAAGAGTGGCTGTGTGACTTTGGTGAAGTCACTGTGTCTCCCTGGGATGCATCTGAGAGGAAGGAGGCTGTACTAGACAATACAGGCAATACCTAAACTGTCCTCCAGCAAATCATGTTTGCTGTTTCCAGAATCTTTACTTCCGAGAGTCTAATTTTATTCAATGGTTCAATGTATATTTGTAGAGTCAGGCATGGTGCTAGGGATATGGTGGTGCAAGATAGAAAGAACCCTTGCTATCATTCTCACTGATCATATTCAGTAACTGATCCCATTGAACATCCATGCATTGAGCACCCATTACCTCCTGGATCTGCTGCTAGAGGCTATGAGAGGCATAGAGAAGATGAAGATATGGTGCCTGCTCTAAACTAGCTTTTCCTCCAAGTTCACCTCCTTAAAGGGAGACAGCCAGCTGAATGTGGTCAGGAGGACTCCTTAAAAGGCGCTCCTTTTGCTCATCACCTGTAACTTCAGTCAAATAAGTAGCCGTGCCAAACCTGGTTTCTTTGGGGCATGGCTTCCAGGTCAGTGCGTCTCTGACACTTGCCCCAGGTGCAGCAAAGTTGCGAAATGGACACGGCTCCGTGTGCCCACCAGATGGCGGCATTCTAGCATATTCCCTAACAGCTGGGGTCATTGAGAAACAGCACCCTGTGTTGGTGGAGGGAAGAGACCACTTCCTCTCTAATCCAGGGCCCATTCATACTGATCTTCTGGAAAGTTCTGGGGTTAAGGGGCTGGCGGGGAAGGAATGGTGGTCGGGCAAAGGAAAATGGCGCTAAATGCTCCATCCAACAAACATTTCTGGCTGCCTTCTGGAGCTCCCCTTGTCCCCAAGTCTGCATTTGGTGATAAATTTGCATCATTACTTATTTACCTGTCATTCTCTTTTGTCCAGTTGGCGCCATGTCTATTTCCTCTTGGGATCCATGGTGCCTACGCAGAGTCTGGCCCAGAGCAAGGATTAAGGGTCTTGGCCGAAAAAAAGTGAAGCTTATTTTAAGCAAGAACTTAAAACAGACTCTCACCTAAGGACCACCACCCAGGCGAGGGCTTCTTGGGCCATTAACATCCTTGACCTCAAAGATGGAAATTGCAAGATGGGAGACTGAGAGTGCCGTTCAAGGTTCCCTAATGTGAGCCATTGGAGACATGGCTGGGATCAACTTTAACCTATCTCTGCTCAAAAGGTGTCAACCTTGTCCACATCAGCCAGGATGTCAAGGTGGAGAGGATAGAAATTCCGGATCTGGCTGAGTCTAGTGCCCACCAGAGAAAACTTTGGCCTTTAATCTGGGATTTTTACATCATTTTCTTCTCTAACAGAGGGAGAGAGAGGGGCATGAGTTGGGTCCACCAATTGGGACAAGCAGGTCCAACCTGCTTCTCTGCTGTCTTCAATTCCATTCAGACCCCTACGCCCTGCTGCCTAGCACCTCCACCTTCCCCTCTGGGGCTCCAGCAAAGAGGAAGGCAGTCAGAACCACTCCAAAGGGTCCAATCTCCTTGCATTCCAGCCCTGGCCAAAGTCAGCCCGGGAACAAGTGGAGAGCCCCTCTTGAAGGAAGTGATTCAGAAACCATGATGGCCTGGCGGCCCGCCGTGACTCACAGCACATCAATGGGGGAATTGTCTGTAGAAGCCGAGAATTCCAAAGCTCTTTTCTTTCCTTTCTTACTTACTTTCTTTTTTTTCTTTCTTTCTTTCTTTTTTGCCCTCCCCTTGGCGGCATTGTGCAACAGCAGGGCTGCCCAGAAACATGTGGTTTTCATCATTGGCTCCACAGCTGCCCTAGAGCACTGTGGAGAAAATAAGATGGAGAGGGAACAGGATACAAGGGGACCTGTCGCGGTCAAGCAGGGTCCTTCTCTTTCCCCCCACCTTTCTTGTCAACACCAACATCCTCAAAGAGCATCTGGAACGGAAGGGAATAGAATTTTGGATCTGGGAGAAAACTTAGAGTATGTCTCATCCAATAACTCTATGTACAGATGAGGAAACTGAGGCCTCAAGAGGGGACGTAAGTGGCTTGGCAAATGTCCACAGCCAAGTTGCATCTTGCATCTTGCTGCAGTGACTGACTTTTCTTAGCCTCCAAGTCAGGAAATGTAGTTTGACAAAGGATAATTTTTTTCCATGGAATGTGACAGATGAAAAGTCATACCAAGTTTAGTTATAAATCTCTCCATTGTCCCTTTCCCCTTATCTACCAGTCTAGGGAGTCTGTTTTACCCGGAGTCATCTGTGGGGACACGTGCAAAATCTAAAGGTCTTTTTGCAGTTGTCATCTGATTGGTCATCTCTGTAGCATGTGAATTAATGTCCACAGGTTTCCAGGTATTCCCCCTATGCATCCACTCCTACCTCTGCAACGTCTCCTTTTCGGCATTCTTTTCTCCTCCCTTGGCTCTCAGATGCCTTAGTTCTATAGGGCTGTCTTATCTTAACTCATATCCATGTTCACGGTTTCAGTGGCTATCATTCAGCTGAGGACTCCCAAATCTTATCTATAGTCTGTTCATCATTCCTGAGCTACAGACGTGTACATACAGCTGCCTTCTCAGTGCCTTTCTTGGATTCCCCAGATGGAACTCATCATTTCCCTCCATAGCTCTTTGACTACTTTGATTTTATTACCAAGTAACTATGGGACCAATATAGTCAGTGTTCCAAAGCACATGCTTTGGCATCTTATTGACCTGGGCCTGACTCCCAGATATGCCACTTAACTGGCTACGGGTCTTTGGCCAAGTTACTGACCTTTCCAAGTTCCTCATCTGTAAAATGGGGGTAATAAAAATACCTACTTCATAAGGCTGTCATTAAGAGGAAATGAGTTAATACAATAGCATTAACACAATGCCTGGCACATAATAAATACTCAATTACTGCTGAGCTGTTATTTTTATTATGTACCTCAGCATCCTCCCAACTTGAGCCACACTGAATTCTTAGCACTTAAAATATTTACTGACCACATATGTGTTCCAAGCACTGTGCGTGGTATAGAATTACATGAGTGGATAGATGAATTTTCTGTTTTAAAATTGCCTTACAAAGTATCCCCATTTTACAGATGAGGAAGACAATCACTTTCTGAGAAAAGCAAACAACCAACCAAGAGATTCCCTCATGTTCCTTCTTACTAGCCAATAATTTATACTGAATATGATGACACAGAAAAAAAGAAAAAGGTAGGCCAATTCATAGTTCACTTTTCTTTTAGTCCTTACTTACTCAACAGTAAGCCTCAAGTAGAGGGGGTTGGAAGAATGTGTGTGCATCCAGAAGTGAAATAAAAACAGTTGAGTTAGTTTTGTGTAGCATGGTTGTGTAAGAGGAAACCCCTTTCGCTTGGCTCTCATTTTCTCTTGCTGCCGCCATGTAAGACGTGCCTTTCGCCTTCTGCCATGATTGTGAGGCCTCCCCAGCCATGTGAAACTGTAAGCCCATTCAACTTGTTTTTCTTTTCTTTTCTTCTCTTTTTTTTTTTTTTTGAGTCTCACTCTGTCGCCCAGGCTGGAGTGCAGTGGCGCCATCTTGGCTCACTGCAAGCTCCGCCTCCCGGGTTCACGCCATTCTCCTGCCTCAGCCGCCCGAATAGCTGGGAGTATAGGCACCCACCACCACGCCCGGCTAATTTTTTGTATTTTTAGTAGAGACGGGGTTTCACCGTGTTAGCCAGCATGGTCTCGATCTCCTGACCTCGTGATCCACCTGCCTCGGCCTCCCAAAGTGCTGGGATTACAGGCATGAGCCACCACGCCCAGCCTAAACCTCTTTTTCTTTATAAGTTACCCAGTCTCGGGTATGTCTTTATTAGCAGTGTGGGAACTGACTAATACAGCATGTAGGAACTATGAAATATGAATTGTGTAATTTTATTGATTCTGCTTATGAGTTCAATGTTTTCATATTTGCATTTAAAATTTTGCATTGCACAATGTAAAAGTAAATGGTAAAATCCACGTGAATAATGTAAAATTTCATTTATTTATTTTACCTAGAATGATATTAAATAGCAATTAAAACAGCATTATGACAAGTCAAGAGAGAGATAGTGGAAGGAAAGAAAAAGCTTTATATTTAGTATCTTTAACAGCATTCCCCCCCCACACTGCACATTTTGAAAAAGGGATCCTGCAAATTATGTAGCCATCCCTGACTAAGATAGGGAAATGTCTTTGAATTTTAGACTTGAGAAGAGACTATGAAAAGTCTCTCAGAGAACCCTGCTCTGCTCACCACCCATCATATTGTATGTGAAGATGGTAAGAGCTACAGGGAGTCTTAAGGTCACACAGGGAGCAAGTAGATAAACCAAGACTGGTGCCCATGCCATCTGACTCCATTCCTTCCTAGTCTAGCATTCTTCACCTAATGTGTGCTCTTCCTTCTGTCAGAAATCCCACCTTATGACTTGGAGATAAGATTTCCCCTTTGCAATTGAAACCATCCAATCAGTACTTGGCTGATGATGTGCAATTGATATGCCTTCCATCCAAGGCCAGGGAGACTTGGCCAGCACTTGGTTAAAAGTAATAAATAGTTTTCAGGGGAAAATCTAGTGGTCGGTGTTTTAGTCCTTGTCTTTCTTGACCTAACAGCAGCATTTATTTATTTATTTATTATTTTTTATTTCCATAGGTTTTTGGGGAACAGGAGGTGTCTGGTTACATGAATGAGTCCTTTAGTGGTGATATCTGAGATTTTGGTGCACCTGTCACTCGAGCAGCATACACTGTACTCAATTGGTCGCTTTTTTTTTTTTTTTTTTTTTTTTTTGACAGAGTCTCGCTCTGTCGCCCAGGCTGGAGTGCAGTGGTGCGATCTCGGCTCACTGCAAGCTCCGCCTCCTGGGTTCATGCCATTCTCCTGCCTCAGCCTCCCTTGTAGCTGGGACTACATGCGCCCGCCGCCAAGCCCGGCTAATTTTTTGTGTTTTTAGTAGAGACAGGGTTTCACTGTGTTAGCCAGGATGGTCTCGATCTCCTAACCTCATAATCTGCCCGCCTCGGCCTCCCAATCTGCCCGCCTCCACCTCCCAAAGTGCTGGGATTACAGGCGTGAACCACTGCACCCAGCCTAATTTGTAGTCTTTTATCCCTCAACCCCTCCCACCCTTTCCTCCCGAATCCCCAAAGTCCATTGTATAATGTATAATTCTTTTTTTTTTTTTTTTTTTTTTTTTTGGGGCAGAGCCTGTTCTGTCACCCAGGTTAGAGTGCAGTGGTGCCATCCCGGCTCACCACAACCTCTGCCTCCTGGTTCAAGGGATTCTCATGTCTCAGCCTCCCACATACCTGGGACTACAGGCATGTTCCACCACGCCTAGCTAATTTTTGTATTTTTAATAGAGACAGGGTTTTGCCATGTTGGCCAGGCTGGTCTTGAACTCCTGGCCTCAGGTGATCCACCCACCTTGGCCTCCCAAAGTACTAGGATTACAGGTGTGAGCCACCACACCTGGCCCATTGTATCCTCCTTATTATGCCTTGGCATCCTCATAGCCTAGCTCCTACTGATGAGTGAGGAACATATGATGTTTGGTTTTCTATTCCTGAGTTACTTCATTTAGAATAATGGTTTCCAATTCCATCCAGGTTGGTGCAAATACCATTATTTTATTCCTTCTTATGGCTGAGTAGTATGCCACAGTGTGTGTATATATATATATATATATATGTCTCACATATATCACAGATTTTTATCCATTAATTTCATTGATTAATAGGCATTTGGGCTGGTTCCATATTTTTGCAATCGCGAATTTTTAGCAGCAGAATTTAATCACGCGCTCTTCTGTCAAACACTTGTGTGTTTTGGCCTTTAGGACCCAACCTCCTACCTTGCTGGCTGCCCTCCCTTAGTCGCCATCACAGATTCCCCTCTACCTTCCTGACTTTGTATCAGTGAAGTGTCTCAGGGGTCAGCTCTCAGACCTTTTCTCTTTTTCTGTCCATACTCATTCCTTTAGTAACCTCATGTAGCCTAATGACTCTTAACACTATCTATATGCTGATTACTCATCTGTTTATACTTCTAGCCCTGACCTCTCCCTGAATTTGTTCTAACATGTCTAACTGCTTTCTTGACATCTGCACTCTGATGTCCAACGAAATCACACACTATATCTGTAACTGAGCCCTTGAATCTCTCCCCCAGCTCCAAACTAAGTCCTACTTCAGTTAATGGCAGCATCAGGTCAAAACCCTGCGGCTCTCTCGATGCTTTCTCATCTTTCACACCTCACACCCAATCCATGAGCAAATCCTAAAGCCTCTACCTTCAAAATACATTCAGAATATGGTCATTTTCCTCCACCATTACTGCTTCACCTTGGCCCAAATCACCTGCATTATGCCAGTAATCTTTGAATTGGTCTCATTTTGGTCCTCATCTCTCTTTTACCCAGAAGGGTCTCCTTGAACCACATGTCGGAGTGTGTCACTCCTCTATTCAAAACCTCTCAATAGTTTCTCATCTTACTCTAAAGAATAACCCAAACCAAACAATCCAAACAAGCCACAGAGCCTGACA
Source organism: Homo sapiens (assembly GCF_000001405.40). Lineage (NCBI taxonomy): Eukaryota > Metazoa > Chordata > Mammalia > Primates > Hominidae > Homo > Homo sapiens. Next base: position 32,666,366 of record NC_000022.11, read on the forward strand.
CCTTCAGGCATTCAGCACCAGGGCCTTAGGACTTCAGCTCTCTTGTCCCCTTTGTCCCCTCTCTCACTCTGCTCTGGCCATGTGGCCACCTTGCTCTTTCTCCAACTCACTGAGGACTCTCCCACCTCAGGCCCTTCGTCCTTGCTGGCCCTCTCCCTGGAATGCTCTTTCCCCAGGAATCTGGAAGGCTCCTTCCTTCACCTGCTATGGGTCATTATCAGATGTAACCCCTCTCATGAGGCCTTCTCTGGTCACCTTGTTTAACACGGTGGCCCCTTCTGCTCCCCATGCACATTCCCCATCTCCCATCCCTGATTTTTATTCCCCATAACACTTATCTCCATCTAACATGCCATCCAGTTGACTTTATTTTCTGTTCATTGTCTGTTTCCCCCTGTTGGAATGTAATTGCTTATTTGTCTGTCTTGATGTATTTTGTTCAAATATCTAAGCCTGCCTTGCGGTGGGCTGTGGTCTAGGTAACGTGATGGCCAAGGATTTACCAAGGAATAATGAACCACCTCCCCACCTCGACCAAGCTCCATGAATGTCTTTGACTCCATATTCCAGCCTCTACCTGGAATGTCCTTTGTCTGTTTCTCTGAATACCATGCCATCCTTCAAGGTCTGGTTGAAAAGTGATCTCCTCACGGAACACAAGGTCAGGAGATCAAGACCATCCTGGCTAACACAGTGAAACCCTGCTAAATTATGCCCCTTTTTGTTTTATTCACAGACTTTAGAACCAAATCTCAGGGTAACATACAATCTCTCTTCCTTCCTTCCTCCCTTCCTTCCTTCCTTCTTTCATTCCTTCTCCCTCACTCGCTCACTCCTTTCCTCCCTTTCTTTCTTCTCCATTCCTTCTTCCTCACTCACTCACTCCCTTCCTCCCTTGCTTCCTTCTTTCATTCCTTCCTCCTTCCCTCCCTCCCTTTTCCCCTTTCTTTATTCTCTCTTTCCTTCCATCATGCTTTCTGTAAGACTGAAGGGATCATACTATGTATATCATTTGACACTTAGTTTTTTTCAAGATGACAAATATCTTGACATATTTTTCTATCAGCATGGAGTAGCCTATAGTACTAAAGTTTATTAAACCAGTCCCTGCTGATCACACAAAAGTATTGCAAAGTCTTGGCACACCGTCTTTGCGCACTTGCTTAGGTTTTTGGGTAGGTCAAGTTCCTTAAAGTGGGTTGCTGGGTCAAAGGGGATGCACATTTTTATTTGCTAAATTGCTGGGTTGCCTTCCAAATCCATACCACTGTATACTTTAGTATGTGTTCATTTTTATCTCCATAAGGCATCATATAAGAGAGCTCTCCTTCTGCATTTCGCTTAGGTTTTTGGAAAAGTCAGTCAGTCAAGGTCGGGAAAGAAGAGGATCGGGGAAGGCTTCCAAGAGGAGATCACTTTTCTTTCTTTCTTTCTTTTTTTTTTTTTTTTTGAGACGGAGTGTCGCTCTGTCGCCCAGGCTGGAATGCAGTGGCGCCATCTCTGCCCACTGCAAGTCCGCCCGGGTTCATGCCATTCTCTTGCCTCAGCCTCCCGAGTAGCTGGGACTACAGGTGCCTACCACCGTGCCCAGCTAATTTTTTTGTATTTTTAGTAGAGACGGGGTTTCACCCTGTTAGCCAGGATGGTCTCCATCTCCTGACCTGATCCGCCTGACTCAGCCTCCCAAAGTGCTGGGATTACAGGTGTGAGCCACCGTGCCCAGCTTGGTTGTTCTTTACTTTATGCTCCTTCACAGTGTTTGAATTGTATACAAGGACACTTTTACCACAAGGAGTGATATAAATGTTTGAAAAATCACCTCATAGATGCAGAAGTAGAAAGTATACATGAAGAGTGTAAATTAGGTTTTACTTTAAAAGTAATCAATTGTTTAGAAGTGTTAAAAGAAACTGTGGATGAGAAATTGTTACATAATTATCTTTTCAATGAAAATGACAATCGGTTTTGTTTCTCCTCACTTCCCTCATTTCCACCCCCCCTTCCTTCACTCCTTTCCCCTTCTCTTTCCCCTCTTCCTGTGGATGAGAAATTGTTACATTGTTATTAACTTTTCAGTGAAAATGACAATCAGTTTTGTTTCTCCTCACTTCCCTCATTTCCCCCTCCCTCCTCCCTTCACTCCTTTCCTTCCTTTCTCCTTCTCCTTCTCCTTCCCCTCTTCCTTCCTCCTCCTTCCTCCACTCCTGCCTTCCCTTCTTCCTTTGTTGTTGTTGTTGGAAGCTGCAGGTATTTCAAGGAGCCAGCAATCCCATTGCAGAACTGATGTAAAGGGACAAACAGCATGGAATTAGGGCTGCCCAAATGTAATGCATGCTACACAAAAATGCTTCCAGTGAGTCTATCTGGGGATGAGGGCAGGGAGAAGGAGGAGAGGTTGGCTTTTAGCTTCACATTGTCCCCGTGCACTCCTGGACCTGCCATCTGCCCCATGAAAGGCCCCAGTGTTCAGATTGCTGCTGCTGAAACTCCCCTTAGGATCCAGAGTGGGCCCAGGCTCATGGTGCCCTGTGTTCTAGGAGCCACATGATTTCACAAACTCACCCTTGCATTTGCTACATTCTTAGCAGGGCCCTGGAACAAAGGAGACATTGAATAAAAACAGTTGACATTTATTAAGCTCTTACTATTATGTGCCTGACTTAGGTTACCTTTTATAATTTCTCAAAAATCCTATGAGGCAGGTATGTAAATCTATATTTTGCAGATACAGAAACTGAGTCATAGGCTAAGTAATTTCCCTAGGCTTGTAGATCTGGGATTTGAAACCGGGTTCTTAGACACTAAGGCTAGTCCTTTAACTACACCCTTTACTGCCTCCAAAAATTATGCTGAATGCTCTGATATCCTGTCAGGAGATATTTTTCTCTAATAAAATAGGGATGGGAGGTGTGTGTTGGGGGAGCTTTCTAGCTTGTCATTCCTTATGGGCCAGCAGGTTGGTGAGGATTAGAGCCAAAAATCTTTGGGGAAGAGAAAAATGGAACCACATGGTCTGTTCCTGAATTCTCCAACAGATCCCTTTGGTCCCAACCTCCAAGTGAGGCTCATTTTATTCTCTCTAGCTCTACACCCTAGTTTCTCTAGTCTGGAGTCATAAACACTGGTGTATGCAAATTAGGCATCAGAGAAAAGAGAACGGCTGTCATTTGCTACAGTTGGAGTAACCACTAGAAAGATGGCAGAATCTGTAAAAGAAGAGAGCGTAACAGTGACAGCAGTGGTGGGCACGTTGTTCTCTAATGCCCATTCTCCCTTGTTCCAAGGTTAAAGAACTCCTAATTTGTAGTTTTATACATGGTTGTCCAGAGTCAAAGCTGTATATTCCAGACTGTTTTCAAATTAGTTGTGACCATATGATTATGTTCTGGTAAGATTTAAGTGGAAGTGTCATCTGATAACTGCTGGGAGACTTCCTTAAAGGGGAGCTGACACATTCTCTCCCTTCTTCTTCATCCTTTTTTTCTTTCTGTTGGATGAAATGCAAATTGGATGGCAGGATAGGGCAGCCATCTTGGGCCATGAGGCAGGTATAGCAATACCTGTACTTTTCAGATAAGAAAACTGAGAATGCAATGAAAGCAACAAGCTAGAAGGAGCTTGACTCCCTGAGGTCTTCATGGAACAGTGTCATTATACTAGCCCCAGACTGCTTACTTCTGGACTTCACTGCATAAGAAAATTAAACTTGTATCATGTTTAAGGAATATTATTTTGGGCCTCTGTTACTTATACCATTTAATATACATCATCACGGCTTCTTGGAAAGATTTCAGGATTGGTAATGAGATTTGTTTTATTTCCATCTTTTCCCCTAACTTATACGCTTCTAAGTTCTCTTGTTCCCAATATAGAAATTAGAACTAGATATATCTCCCTCACATGCATTGATTTTTATATTATAGTAAAATACATTTCATAAAAAGGAGAATAGAGATTTGAGGAGTGGATGCAAAAAAGTCTGAGGGAATCTGATTACACTGGTATATTTTGGCTTTAGGCTATAGGGGGGAAAAGATCCTGCTTAATTAATTAATATAAGCACAAAACAGAGAGAGGACTAAACATTCAAGTTACAGCAAGACCAGAGATGACGCTGGGTCTCTGAAAAGCTGGAAAGAGGGATCCTCTGCTGTCTTTTAACCCTACTTCTCTATCGTTTGGATTCAGTCTTTGTTATGGTGGCTTTGTGGCTTCTTCCACAAGGTGAGTTTTGTATCTTACAGCATTAGGCATTGAAGAGGGATGACTCCCTTTCTTCACTGTGTTGTGAGGACTCTCAGGGAAGAGCTCTAACTGGCCAATCTTGGTTCAGCTGCTCTTCCTAGAGACCTATCAGTCATTGCCAGGAAGCATGCTGTGCAAAAGAACTGTTCTTGCAGAATGTGGCTATGTGGATTGTATATAACGAGCATGTGCTACTTTTATCGTAAGTGATGAGATGAATGTCTGGAGTAATGAGGTAAGTGTGGGACGTGGTGAGTAGGAGGGCATGGGGGGATTCCCCCCTTCCTAAAAAGGCAGCGCTGACAGCACACCCCTAGGTGACCACTACGGTGTTCAGGAATAGCAAGAGCAATTCTATTGACAACGGAGCAAAGTGTGGTGGACCGGGTGGAAGTCAAGAGACGCGGATTCTAGCCCTGGCACCATAAGGCTATTTGGCACATCTCTTTCTTCAGTGGGTTTCAGTTTACATATCTGTCAAGTGATGATGTTAAATCAGCTTGAACTAGCTCAGTTGTTTTCAAAGCTTTTTTTCGTTTACAGAGGTTTTTGGGGTGCACGGGTTAGGGTGCTAGGGATCCTCACTAGATCTTCTTTCCATTCTCTACAAAACCCGCCCATTTTCACACACACACATGCATTGACATGCACTCTTACACACTTACACTCCCACCCATGCTCACAGACACGCACACATTCACACACCTCCTGTCACATACACACACCCATCCACACCCACACTCACTCTTACTTCCTCACACTCACCTGCACACTCACCCGCATCCTCTCACACTCATCTCACATACATACTCACACATCCACCTAAAAACACACCCTCCCTCACACACACAGACACACCCACACTTACACACACATGCTGTCGCACAGGTGCACACACGCTCTCACACAGCTACACATACACACGCTCTCACGCAGGTGCACACACACACACATGCTCTCAAACAAGTGCACACACACACGCTGTCATACAGGTGCACACACGCTCTCACACAGGTATACACAGACGCTCTCACACAGATGCACACACGCTGTCACACACGCTCTCACACAGGTACACACACGCTGTCACACAGGTGCACACACATGCTCTCACAGGTACACACACATGCTATCACACAGGTGCACACACACTGTCACACAGGTGCACACACACATGCTCTCACACAGGTACACACACACGCTGTGACACAGGTGCACACACATGCTCTCACAAAGGTGCACACACACGCTCTCACACAGGTACACACACACACGTTTAGTGTATGCGGAGTCACATTTGTTCTCCAGAGCTTGTTGGATTGGATGATCTCAAGTGTCCCTCACAAGTTGTCAGCATCCATGGTTCCATTCAAATTGGGAACTTTCCAGGGCTTTGAGCCCTAAATTCTGGAGAGCAGCAGTTGTTACAGAGAAAAGTCATAATGAAGAGAGTCTAAACAACTATGAGAGACTTTCTACCCTCCTTTGCTCTTCCTCCCCCATCCATCATGGCCAGCAGGCTGGATGTGTCCTTTCACTAGTGATGGAAGATGAAGAACATCTGTAGATCCCCAGGGAGCTGCATTTATTAAAAAAAGGTCTGCATAGCCCTATTAATACACAATGTCTTGCCCATCCTTGGGTCCATCTATACAGTACTGATCCATCTTTAAATACATGTAAAAATAAAATGCAAACATAGACTATCTGGCAAAAAATAAAATAAAATAAACATATGTAGATGAGGAATAAAATTAAGATGCATGGTATGTTTTGGTTTGGAGCTATTTTCTCAGTGAGCAGTCATCAACGTAAAGAAACTGATGTGTGGGGCTGCAGAGAAATGGATTGTCTTGGAGAAGTCTCAGCGCTAAGTCTGGAGTCAGGCGTCTTCTCCCCTAGGGCAGGCGTGTGCTTCCAATGTTCCTGCTGCTTGGGGCAGGGATGGCCCCGCCATCCTTTGCTATCTCTCTGATCTCTCCACAGGCTGCTATGTCCCTCCGCCTGGTGAGAAGACAGACTCTCCCAAGCACAAAGCCACGCTGTCTTGAGCTGGCACCTTCCTGCGTGGGAACCCAGAATCACTCTCAACAGCCCTTTCTTTCTCCCTGCAGCCTGTGAGCTGGGGAGGCGGCCAGCTGGGGTGGTTCCCACATTGGGAAACTGGGTGGGGCCTGGGGAGCCCCTTGGCCTTGGTCAAGAAGACAGACCCAGGCCCCTCCCTGGGAATTCTATATAATGCAGAAGTGGCGAGAGAAAGAGAGCTTTGTGGATAGTCGCCTCCCATTGGGACATGGATTGGTTGGCCACTGACACTGATGTGGGCAGAAAGAAGTGGCTGTTGTTTTACCAGGGCTGGCACCTGGTTAGGACGAAGCCCAATCCCCTTTGGAGGGCCCCAGATGGGGTTCAAGTGGGAAAAAATGGATCTCAGGGCAGAATCTGATGTGGATTCCTTTCTGGGTGTTGAGAAAAACACAAAACAATAACTCTTCCTTTCGCCTCCTAAGAAGTAGAGTAGGTTCAGCAGGATGAAGTAGGTTTCTTGGGATTAAGGGTACGTAGGATGTTCTTTGGCAAAGGTGGTCATGCTTTGAAAAGGGGGATGCTCTATGGAGCTGTGGGGAAGAGGGAAGAGGGGAGGTTCCCACATATAGGGTGTTGTGTCAGAAATGAAGAGGGAGGCAGCTTCTCCTTCTCACTATCTCCTCCCCCAGAGAGGGACCCAGCAACAGGAGTCAAGGGTTGCCCCCAACACAGCTGAGCAGGACCCTCCCCACTGTGGGTCTTGATGCAGAGCATGGGCCGTTCGGTCATTGCTCATGGATGAAACGACCAAGCCTGTCTTCCATGTTTCAGGCACAATAAACAAAAGATTTCAAGAAGCTCACTGTGTACTAGGGAAGGCAGACAAGCCAACAGGCAGATCTGACATAGTGCCATGATAGTGGAAGGTTGGCAGCCATGGGAGTTCCCAGGAGGGTACCCCATCAGGACTTGAAGAGCCAGGGATGGCTTTCTCGAAGAAGCAACATTTAAGCTGAGAGTTCAAAGATGAGTTGGGCTTAGTAGGATGAAGGAGGGGCAGAGGGCGTATTCTAGACAGAAGGATTTGTACGTGCAAAGGCTTAGGGATGAGAGAAAGATGGTGAGTTCCAAGAGTTCAATACAGCTGAAGGTTTTACCATATGTAAGTTTCCCCAAATGAGGTGATGCCAGAGAAATGAGCGTGGCTCTGATGTGCAGGACAGTGCTGAGGAGTATAGGCTTTCTCCTGGGGGCAAAATCATCTCCTGGGAGCCCTGATGGGTATGGAGCTCCAGAGTGGCACGATTGCATATGAGCTACTCTGTGGAGGTGTGGCTACTCTGTGGGAGTTGGACTCAAAGGGGATAAAGGCGGGGAGGCTGTTGCTGAAACCCAGGCAAGAGATGGCAAGGGTGAGAGTGTGGATAGTGGCACAGGGGATGAGTGCTGGGCGGGAGGGGACCCAGATGGAGGGCAGCCTAGATATGGGTAGAGTAGGAGAGGGAGAAGGAGAGGTCAAAGGTGATGCCAGGTTTCTGGTTTAGCAGAGACTGAGATTGTTTTCCAAGCTGTGAATTGCACCCTTCCAGCTTTGGGGAAGCCATTTCTGCAGCCAGTCTTGTCTGTCCCTGAGGGATGGTTCTGGAGTTGGAATTGGGGTGGGGAGGCACCTGGGAAAGCGATGTTCCAGTGAAGATAGTGGTTCTGATAGAAAGACTGGACTCTGGCCTGCATATTTCTCATGCAAATCTGCCACCAGAATGTTCATGTCATGAGGGAAGGGGCTTTGCTTCTGTTGCTCTCTTTTGTTGCTACAGGTAATGCCTATCAGTGCTACCAGTTGCTAGAATAATGCCTGACACACAGGAGATGCACAGAAAATGTTTGTTGAATGGGAAAATGATGGTGGCTACAGGTACAGGATTGGGAGGATTTACCATTCCAATCAGTGAAATGGGATAATTGGATCCCTTTGATATGTCACAGAAACGTCACTCTGGTTTCATCATTCCTTTTGATCAAAGGGTGTCTAAGATGGTGCAGATGACCAGAATGGAGAGAAGAGGGATAATGGCATATGTATGCACACATAGGTATGTAAAGTACACGCCCTAGATGATAAACAAGGCAATACACCATGATGGCTTAATAACTTTCATTGTCATCATCAGCATGGGTATCATCACTAGCTTAGATTGATACGTTAACGTGTACCAGACACCAAAACTTGCAGGCGCTTTATATCCATTATCTCATCTAATCATCACAGAAACCCTATGGAGGAGATCCTGATATGATTATAGTTGGACTCATGCAGAAACTGAGACTCAGAGAGGTAACAGATGTACCCCTTGTCACACACCTCAGCTGTGCCGGGCCAAAGACTGAACAAAGTTCTGTCTGAATCTAAGGCCACTTTCCCTCTAGTCTGAGCTCTTGTTTCATGGAAGAAACAAATGTGGTTGAAACAGAAACTAAGGGTAGAGAGAAAACTCTGCAATGTCCCAGGAGGCCTCTAGGCTTGGTAAGAGTCCAAATGGGCCGGAGAACTTTCTTTGGCCCCTGACCTGGCTGGACAGTCAGCAGGAAGTATCATCTTGTGGGTTTGTTAATTTACCATCCACCTGCAAGCCTTGTCATATATCTTCCAGACCTGACAAAATACCCTCACCTAACACAACCCTGTCCCTGCTTAGTGTCTTTTCAAAACCACCACCAAATCTGAGAAGGGAGAGCCAGGAGCAGGTGCTTGCCACATCCTCTCCTGGAATCAGAGTGCAGCAACCTAGGGCTATTGTTCAGCTGCCTGGGACATGGCATCTTAGGTTGGGGTGATTCTGGAGACACTGGGAGAACAGCTGGCATCTGGTGTGCTGGGCTGATGCTGGAGACGTTATTAAAAAGTGCCTCCTGCAACTCTGCACCCCACCCCAGCCCCAGAGTAACACGTTTCTTCTCTTTCACCCAAGGGTACCCTCTAGAGAGATGAGTCACTGCTCTGGGGGAAGGAAGTTACTATGGAATCTGAAATCAAAGGTGCCACTTTTCTGATTATTAAGCTAAAAGCCAGCTAAGCTGCATGAAGGCTGACAGATTCAGTTGCCTGCTTTTGTTGTTTTTCTTCTCACTGCAAACTTGATGAAAGTCTCCCTGAGCTAGCAAGTGGTGAGCGGGAGGCGAGATCACAGACAGGGACCCAGTGAGGGGGAAGAATTTCCCCTTTGCCCTAGGAGCCCCATGATGGCCAGAAACCTAATCAGAGCCCAGGTGTCCTGCTGGTTGTTGTTGCATGAGGACCACAGGTGAACTGGAGGAAATATCTGTCTTGAAGACATTGTTCAGCTCTCATCCAAACTGTCATTGTGTGGTCAATCCCCTATCCAGTGGTCCAGAGCACTCTTCCAGCCCCAGGATGAACTCTGAGGATGAAGACTACCTGAAAGGTATCTCAGATGATACTGGCCCAAGATCTCCCCTGAGGAGCCCTCCCAGCCCCTGCCCTTGAGCACGCATATTGAAAGAAATACTGTCTTTCATCAAGCCTCCTGCCTTCACAGTGTGTCCACTTGCAGAGAAGTTCTGGGTGATGTCCACAATGCTGGTTCATTAAGGCGTATCCCAGGGCTGGAAGCCAGTCATCTCATCAGGGAAGGGCCTGGGTATTTGGAAGGAGCTGGGCAGAGGCAACAGGTCCCAGACAGCTTGGCACCAGCAAGATTTATCTGGGCATTTGTCAGAACTGCCAGCTTGTCCTAGGGAGTTTCCCTATCTGCAGAAGCCCGGAGGTGTGTGGACAGGGCCCTGTGCCAGTGCAAAGTCTCAGTGTAGCCTCCTTCTCCAGACAAACACCAATCATAACAGCTTCCATTTTCTTTCTTTTCTTTTCTTTCTTTTTTTTTTTTTTTTTTTTTTTTTTTTTGACAGAGTCTCGCTCCGTTGCCCAGGCTGGAATGCAGTGGCACGATCTTGGCTCATGCAAACTCCACCTCCTGGGTTCACGCCATTCTCCTGCCTTAGCCCCCCGAGTAGCTGGGACTACAGGCACCCACCACCACTCCCGGTTAATTTTTTGTTTTTTTTTTTTTTAGTAGAGACGGGGTTTCACCGTGTTAGCCAGGATGGTCTCAATCTCTTGATCTTGTGATCTGCCCACCTCGGCCTCCCAAAGTGCTGGGATTACAGGCGTGAGCCACTGTGCCCAGCCAACAGCTTCCATTTTCAAATGGCACCCACGTGACAGGCCTTGTGCGGCCAGCTCTACATGATGTCATCACATCCTTCTGAGAACCATGCACACTTGGGAATTATTCTTCCCCTTTACAGGTGAGAAAACAAAGCTCAGAGGCTGGTGACAGAACCACGACAATTTGAAGTCTAATCAGTATGGTTTCAAAGCTCAAATTCTTTGCAATTAAACTCAACACATACATATTGGACATACATGTTGTGGCAGACGCAATGCTAGACTCAGGGGCTTCAGAGATGGATAACGCTGTTCCTATCCTGGAGGAGCTTACCAGAAGCTTTGACATACCCCTGAAAATGCTCTAGCACCTGGGATTAAGGAGGCTTAGAGGAAGGAGGAATTCACTCTTTCTGGGTAATCGGTGATGAGTTTTTCAGAAGCAGTGATCCTCTATCCAGCTTTCGAGGAGTGTGCCAGGGGAAGAAGACCCTTCCAAATGCGCTAGTATGTAACACATCTGTACTAGGATGTTTACTGTACCATTGTTCATGGAAGACTGCAGGGCAGTGTGCATACCATAAATCCTCATTGGTAGGGGACTGGTGGAATAAATTGTGGCTCAATCACATCAAAGAATATTTTGAAACCATTGAAAGAAACAAATTAGAGTCATATCAAAATGACACAAGATTGACTGGGCGCGGTGGCTCATGCCTGTAATCCCAGCACTTTGGGAGGCCAAGGCGGGTGGAACATGAGGTCAGGAGATCGAGATCATTCTGGCTAACACGGTGAAACTCCATCTCTACTAAAAATACAAAAAAAAATTAGCCGGTCGTGGTGGCGGGCGCCTGTAGTCCCACCTACTCGGGAGGCTGAGGCAGGAGAATGGCATGAACCTGGGAGGTTGAGCTTGCAGTGAGCCGACATCGCACCACTGCACTCCAGCCTGGGCGACAGAGCAAGACTCCTTCTCGGAAAAAAAAAATAATCATAATAAAATAAAAAAAGACACAAGATTGAGTGAAAAGCAAGCTGGAGAGAAGTGTGTGTGTGTGTACACAGATAGGCATGTATGTTGATAGGAATTCAGAGCAAGGGATTCCCTGCAGAAGACACAGCATGGTCAAAGGTAAGGAGATGTAAATAATGTCTAGGGAACTACAAAGAGCTCAGTTCTGCTGGAGTGTCATGAGGAAGGTGAGGCCTCAGAGGGAGGCAGGAAGTTCCCAGGAGCTGAATAGTAGGTGTGGTTGGAATGAGAGTTTGATTTGGCAATTGGATAGGCATCTTTAGGAACTGGCCCAATCTGGGGAGATTCGTGGCTGAATTCAGGCTGGGATTGGGTGTTGTAATGGTCACAGCCTTACAGAAAAGGTGGAAATGAATTTGACTCTAGAATGGAAGTCCAGTCAATGGAGTGAAGCAGAACATTGGACAGGAGAATCCAGGCACCTGCGGCCCAGTCCAGTCTAGCACAAACTCACTGTGGGCTCTCAGATGTCCCTTTTCCTTTCTGAATCTCTCCTGTCTATTCCCACTTCTCTCCAAATGTGTGATGTCAGATCACACAGAACGCCCCAGCCACATCCAGGCAAGGTCCCTCAACAATTAGTCCAGGCAGGACAACAAACTCTAACCACATATCTGTCCCCACAGCTTCACTGAAAGTACTCTTACTAAGATCATCCTTGTCGTTGAAAGACCTTCCTCCTCCTCCTCCTCCTTCATCCTCCTCCTCCTTCCTCCTCCTCTCCTCCTCCTTCTTCTCCTTCTTCTCCTTCTTTCTTCCTCTTCTTCCTCTTCCTCTTTTTCTCCTTCTCCTTCTCCATCTCCTCTTCTTCCTCCTCCTCCTCCTCTTTCTTCTTTCATCAGAAGCATTTGACTAAGGAGCCATCCTCTCCTTTGCAAAACACTATTCATCTCAGCTTGTGTGACAGGACAACTCTTATGGTTTTTCTTCTCTTCCTTCATATTCTTTGCTGGCTCTTCTTTTTTAAACTCTGAAATTTAACTGCTACTCTATTTCTTTGACTATTTTAGATGCCTCATATAAGGGGAATCATGTAGTGTTTGTCTTTCTGTAGCTGACTTATTTCACCTAGCATAATGTCTTCCAGATCCATCCATGTTGTAACAAATATCAGGATTTTTTCTTTTTTTAAGGCTAAATAATATTCCATTGTATGAGCAGAAGACATTTTCTTTTTTCTTTGTTTCTTTCTTTTTTTTTTTTTTTTTTTTTTGAGATGGAGTCTCGATCTGTCACCCAGGCTGGAGTGCAGTGGTGCGATCTTGGCTCACTGCAACCTCCGCCTCCCAAATTCAAGTGATTCTCCTGCCTCAGCCTCCCGAGTAGCTGGGACTACAGGCACCCACAACCACATCCAGCTAATTTTTGTATTTTTAGTAGAGACAGGGTTTCACCATGTTGGCCAGGATGGTCTCGATCTCTTGACCTCATGATCCACCCATCTCGGTCTCCCAAAGTGTTGAGATTACAGGCATGAGCACCGCGCCTGGCAATACCACATTTTCTTTATCCATTCATCTGTCGATGGACTTTTGTGTTGCTTCCATATTTTGGCTATTACGAATAATGCTGCAATGAACATGAGAGTGAAGGTATCTCTTTGAGATCCTGATCTCAATTCTTTTGGATATATATCCAGAAGAGGGATTGATGGATCATACGGTAGTTCTACTTTTATTTTTTTAAGGAACTTCCATACTGTCTTCTGTAGCAGCTGCACCATTTTACATTCCTACCAACAGTGTGTAAGTATTTTAATTTTTCCATAGCTTCATCAACACTTTTGTTTTTAATAACAGCCATCCTAACATCCTAACAGGTGTGAGGTGATATCTCAGTGTGGTTTTGATTTTTGTTTCCTAATGATTAGCCATGTTCAGCATCTTTTCATATATCTGTTAGCCATTTGTATGTCTTCTTTGGAGAAATATCTATTCAAGGTTTTTGCCCACTTTAAAACTGGGTGAGGTTTGTTTTTTGGCTTTTTTTTTTTTTTTTTTTGCTATTGAGTTTTAGGAATTCCTTATATATTTTGGAAATTTATCCCTTACAGCTTCCACAGTAGTTTTCTTCATGCTTATTTTACTAAATTACCTTGATTATTTACCTTGTCTATATCTTTCTTCTCTGTTTCTCCCACTAGAATATAAACTCCATGAGGGCAGAGCCTAGTCTGCTTTATTTATGTCCTCAGCACCTCAATGCCTGACATGTAATAGAGGTTCAGGTAATATTCTGTAATCGAATGAATAAATAATTATTGATTTCTACTTCTAAAAGTCCTTCTTTATTTACTTCTAAACTACAGCTCGCCATGGTGCCTTGGATAAATCTCTCATTCTAGCCACATCCTCAGATATTCTCTTTCCTTTTCTGTGGCTCCAGCTCAAATTCAATTTTCTCCATGTGGTCTCCTTTGACTTTTTATGGCAGAATTATGCACTCCCTTCTCTGTGCTCCCATACCCTTTGCCTCTGCCTGAATTCATGCACTTGTTTAATTCTACTTGATAGTACTGTTTGTTTTTCCCTTGTTTGTCTTCCCCAGAAGACTGTCAACTCTTTGAGGACAGAGGTCATGCTCTAATTTTGTCTGTATTCCACAGCATCTAGTTCAGTGTGTTTTTCAAATCAAGACACCTTGTTGAATGGGATGGGATCTGGCTGACAGCACTCTCACACCGTTGCTTGCACAGACTGGCCAACTGGTTTACCTGGTTTGCCCAACAAAGCCTCCTTAGATCTAGGTTGACTCCCTGTTCCAGAAGGCAATCCTGTGTACTCAACTTGCTAGTAGGTTTCATCCTTTGGATTCAGAATTTCCTATTTGTTCAGAGTTGTAAATTTCAGTGCCAAGCTACAAGTCCAACTCCATTCATTATCCTCTCTTTTATGTTCATGGCATATTTCAAAGTCAACATCTAAAGTCAAAAATCAAAGGATTTCCAAACTTAGTTTTTCCTCTCTCTTGAGGTTCCTTCCATATATCTAGGCTATTGCTAACATCAAATGTCCCAGCTCCAGAAATGCAGGCTGGGCTGACTTTTTTCTATGCTCTAGAAGAAAGCTGTGAAACTCAGCAAGATGTGATTCCTCCCCTTCTCCACATATCTTCACTTGTTAAATTCTACTTCTTATTTAAAGCTCAGCACAATCAATCTTTTCTATGTTTCACATATCACTTGCCATGATAAGGGAGGTGGGAGCTTGCCTGGCAGGCTCAAGGAATGGCAAGAAGGGTGATGTAGCTTGGTGAAGTGAGGGAGGAGAGAGTATGGGAGATGAGGTGGCAGAGTCGACAGGGGTTGCAGAGGGTGTAGAGAAGTGGTTCTCAACCAGGGGGCCATTTTGACCTCCAGGGATATTTGGCAACGTCTGGAGACATTTTTGGTTGTTACAACTTGGGAGTGGGGGGTGGGATGCTACTGGCATCGAGTTAGTAGACAAAGGTCAGGGATAGTGCCAAATGGCTTGCCTGGCAGGTTTGAGGGTATAGAGGAATGGTTCTCAACCAGGGGCCATTTTGGCCCCAGGGGATATTTGGCAATGTCTGGATATTTACCTTGTGCCTGGATTTGTTCTAGATACACTTTCACCTACATGTCCTCTAATCTTCTCAACAGCCATGGAACACACATATGATCCCATTTACCATATGAGAAAACCACGACTCAGAGAGGCTGAGGTTCCTGGTCAGTATGTGACCAGGGCAAGACTGGACTTCAGCTCACCTGACCAGGAAGACAGTGCTTTCTCCACCCTATTTGGCTGTTGCAGCTGCTGACTCAATCCACCATTCACAATAGTACCTCACTTTATTCAACAAATATTTTGCAAACACTTCCTATGCACCAGGCAGTGTTCTAAGCACTCAGAACACATTAGTGGATATAGCAAACAAAAGCCCATGAAGGCATGTAGATAGTTATATTCTAGTTGTGGGAGACATACTAAAAACGATCAATAGATAAAACAAGTTATGAAGTACTAGAAAGTAAAAAGAGGTATGAAATGAACTGCAGGGCAAGTGGGATAGAGAGTCCTGGAGGTATGGGATGGTGGACACAATTTCAAATACAGCTGTCACGAAGCCACATTATGATGGTGATGTTTGAGCCGAGACTTAGCAGAGGTAAGAGAGTTAGTCATGTGGGATTGGGGAAAGACGATGTAGCTTGGTGAAGTGAGGGAGGAGAGGGCACGGGAGATGAGGGGCAGCAGGGGTTGCAGAGGGTGGAGAGGAGTGGTTCTCAACCAGGGGCCATTCTGACCCCAGGGGATATGGGCAATGTCTGGAGACATTTTTGGTTGTCACAACTTGGGAGTGGGGGTGGGATGCTACTGGCCTCTAGTAGGCAAAGGTCAGGGATTCTGCAAAACATCCTACAATGCACAAGTCTGCCCCCACAAAATAGAATTATCCAGCTCCAAATATCAATCGTGTAGAGACTGAGAGACTGGTTGAGAGCCAAGATCTTTTGAGGATCTTGAACAGAGGAGTGACATGATTTGACTTACATTTTGCAAGATGCCTCTGGCTGCTGTATTGAGAATAGACTATAAGGATAAGGGCAAGGGAGGAAGCAGGGACACCAGTCTGGAGATTACTGCAGTCACCCAGGAATTAGATGTAGGACGACTCATCCCCTTCTAGGGTGGAAGGCCCTGGAAGCCAGGGAGGAAGGGCAGTAGCATTTACGGAGCACCCAGAGGGTGCTAGGCTTTCATATACATTATCTCTTTAGACCCCATCTGATCTTTATTAGTCCCAGCACTTGGATTGGAGTTAAGTTGTTTAAGTAGTTTGACATCGCTGGATGTAAATGAGGCTTTGAGTAGAAAGAAGAGAAGGTTTTTATTGCACAGCGTTTGACGAATCAGTATTTATTCTGGGTGATGTTATTTTTCACCAATAGGGTGGATGCCTGGACTGCAGGTAGGCACATGCCCTTGTAAAGGCACACGAAGAAACTCTTGGAGAAGCCCAGACAGAGCTCTCCTGTGGTACCCATGTGTTATCATTTAGCAGATATGCCCTTGGAAGGTGCCTTGGTGAGGCTAGCTGTGACACATTCCGTTAAGAATAAACATTTGCATAGGGCACCTGAAGCCAGGCACCTGTGGCCACTTTTCCTGGAAGAGCCAAGCTCTTGAAAATATCTACATTAGGGTCTTTCCTCCAAGAACTGGAAGGTCATCCATGCAAGAGTGGACAAATAGGTGTGATGCGGGTTGCAGAGGAGCAAGAAGCTCAGCCAATAAAATGCCAGATGGTGACTCACAGCAAGTGATGATGGAGTGAGCTTGTTTGTGTCATGCCAGTGAAATAATTCATGACCATATCAATGGTGTGGTCCTGCTCTTTCTTCTGCGGAGGGGAGCGGGGTGGGGGGCAGTGCAGGAGATGATGTTGATGACATTTTCTGCCTCTTAATTGCCTTCCCCCTTCCTGGGGTAGGTGATCAGGCTGACCAAACCCCTCCTCCTTAGAACTCTCTCCTCTCTAGGCTTCCATGGCCATACTTTTTATGCCCTCAGCTCCTTCCTGGTGCCATTTCTTCTGCCTGGAATGCTTGTTTCTTAGGGCTCCTGTAGCTCTGCTTCACAGATCGGGTGGTTTAAAAACAGCAGAAATGTATTCTCGCAGTTCTGGAGGCTGGAAGTCTGAAATAAGTAGGGGCTTCCTCTTCCTAGCTTCTGGTGGTTGATGGCAATCTTTGGCGTTCCTTGGCTTACAGCTGTGTCACTCCAGTCTCTGCCTCTGTCACCACATGGTGATCCCGTGTGTTTCTATTTTCACATGGCCGTCTTCTATAAGGACAACAGTGATATTGTGGTGACATCTATAAGATGTCTTCATGCTGGTCCTAATGCTCAGTACTTCAGAAGGAAGTATTTACTTGGAAATAGTGTCCTTGCAGATGTCATTGTCCTTACCTTTTTTATGTGTGTTGGGGGGAATACAATTTAACCCATAACAATACCCTTCTCTACTTTCCCCTCATAGTCTAGAAGTACACTAGCAAGCAAGCTAACACTGCAGTTTCTGGGAGAATTCTTAGGTTCTCTTGCTACTGGGGCCCTCACTGAATGGATGGATGCAAGTCTCTTCAGATTGTTGTTTTGCTGCATTCGTGGACTTTTGGTCCACTAGTATTCATTCCTAAAAGGAACAATTCCTATCCCACCCATGTGATCCCAATTGAGCATCAAATATGATGCATAGATTCCCAAACAACAGTGGTTAATCAGAGTGCTGCATCCCTCCCAGGAACAATGATTGATCCAGTGGGGGAACATGACCCAAGAAGGGACGATCACAGTTCTTCTGTGAAATACTGAAATAAGGCGTTAGGAGAGTGAGTCTTCCTTTCTTTTGAACACAGTTGGAGCTTGCAGAAGCCTTCTTGTCTACCACATAAAGTGATCTAATCTAAATAATGAAGCAGGAACAAGCAGAGCAGAGAGAGGAGACAGAGATAGAGCCCTGATGACATCATTTCAGGTCCTAGATCCAGCTGTGCCTGAAGCCATTGGCCCTGGAATTCTAAGAAACAAAAACAATGACTTTCCTTTTTCTCTTAACTACTTGGAGTTGGGTTTTTTCTTATTTCATTTGAAGGAGTTTATTAATTCAGCTGCCTTCCACCATCACCAAGCTCTTTTCTAAAACAGCAACCACATCATTGTCAAACATTGCATTAACACTAACTCTTTACAATGCAAGGCACTCTACAGAGCAATTTCTTGCACTTGAAAGCATTGAATTAGGATTCCCCTTGCTGAACTCTGAGCCCTCAAGCACACCATGCATTTGGCAAAATGCCTTGGATGTTTTTTACATTCATGGCTTTTTAACTGTCACTGCTACACGTTCATGAAAAGGGGCTCATAATGCAATAAAGAGAGCTCTAAAACAGATGTCAGAAAATGTGGGTTCAAGTTCCGGCTCTTCCAATTACTAGCAGTGTGACCGTCAAAAAGTTACTTGGTTTCTCTGAGCCCCAATTTCTCTATCAGTGTAACAGGCACACTCATTTCCTGCCCTATCTAATTCTCAAGATTGTTGGGAGGACGAAATGAGATAAAGTAGGAATTGGCAAACTGTGGCTCATGGGCCAAATATGGTCCACTGCCTCTTTTTTTATAAACCAAGTTTTATTGGGACACAGCCATGCCCCATTGTTTATATATGGCTACATTCCTTTCACACTACAGCAGCGGAGCCAGGTGACAGACTTTATGGCCGGCAAGCAGAAAAGTAACATTATGTCAAGGGCATTTTCCCATTCTATTTACTGTCTGGACTTTACAGAAGAACTTTGACAATTCCTGCTCTACAAACACAAGGTAGGGTTTCTGTTGACAGCAGGGTTTCCTCAGGTGATTCCTATATCCCTACCTGGAAAACTTCTTCAAGGAGTTTTTCTAAAGTGATAACATCCCAAAATTAGCAAGATGAATGATGAAAGTGAGAACAAACTTTCTGGAGGGCAATTTGACAACACTTCGAAAGCCTCAGAAATATAGTCATGTGCCACATAACGACACTGTAGTCAGTGATGAACCGCATATACAACAGTGGTCCCACAAGATTGTAATGGAGCTGCCCTATACAGGTGTACCACTTCTTATCTTGTGGCCATATTTTTACTGTACCTTTTCTATGTTTAGATACACAAATACCAATGTGGTACCACTGCCTGCAGTATTCAGTAGTACATAGCATGCTGCATAGGTTTGTAGCCTGGAAGTAACAGGCTGTATCATCTAGCCTAGGTGTGTAGTAGGCTAGACTATCCAGGTTTGTGTAAGTGCGCTCTGTGATGTTCACATAATGACGAAATTGGCTAATGATGCATTGCTCAGGACATAACCCAGTCATTAACTGATGCAATACTGTATAACATTCGCCTTGACCTCATCATCCCATTTCTAAGAAGTTGTCTTAAGAAATAATCAGAGTTGAGATGTATCTACAAATTTAAGAAATGATGGTGGAATAATTGCTTAAATTATTCAGCAAATTATATAGTCTTTCCAAATTATGTTTCCAAAGAATTTTTAATAGGATGGGAAAATGTGCCTGTTATAGTATTAGTGAGAAAAAAGTCATTAAAAAACACATTTAATATGATCCCAATTTTATCAAGCAAAACTAGCAGGAAACACACCCCAATTTCATGGCGATTTTCTCTGGGTATTGGAATTACAAGAGGCTTTTATAATGTTAATTTTTATTTTTCTTGTTCTTTTTTATTTCTTTTTAATCTGAAAAGGAATAATTTAGCGAATATGGGTTGGATAAGCTTGAGAAATAACTGATGATTTGAGTTACTCTCTTATCATTATATAGAAAAAGGGTATTATCCTCAACAGGTGTCATGTGGGGCATGTGGGTGAGTGGAAGGGGATGAGGGTCCTGGAGCAGGAGGAGAGTCTGTATCCTGCAGTGACAGCTGCCACTCAACTCTGCCGACCATCGCCATGTGGGGATCTGACGTAGACTGAGTGTTGTACATCTTCTACATCTCCTTTTTTTTTTTTTTCAAGAAAAGTCAGAGATTTAGATTGCTATGGGGATTTACCACACTGATATGTGTGGGTCAAATAAACCACTCCATGCCTCCTGAATCCAGCTTCCCAAGTCACCCATTTGAAATGCCTGCTCTAGAGCCATTGAGTTTGGTGCTGAAAGGAGAGCTACAGATTTTCCAGTCCAGCTGCTCCTCCATTTTTTTTTTTTTTTTTTTTTTTTGAGACAGTCTCGCTCTGCTGCATCTGGGCTGGAGTGCAGTGGCATGATCTCGGCTCACTGCAACCTCCACTCCCGGGTTCAAGTGATTCTCCTACCTCAGTCTCCAAAGTAGCTGGGATTACAGGCGCCCACCACCACGTCCATCTAATTTTTTGTATTTTTAGTACAGATGGTGTTTCACCATTGGCCAGGCTGGTCTTGAACTCCTGACCTCAGGTGATCCGCCTGCCTCAGGATCCCAAAGTGCTGGGATTACAGGCGTGAACCACTGCACCTGGCCCAGCCGCTCCATTTGATTTTGATGTTATGAAATGCCTTATCCAGAGTCACACAACTAAATATCAGCAGAGCTGGAAGTGGAGCAAAGAGGAGTTGTTGCTTCTCAGACCAGAACTGACCATTGCAGTGCCATCACCTCTCCCCTCCTATAGCTTTCTCCATCTCAGAAAACTGGTGCCAGCACTGCCCCAGGTGCCCAGGCTGAGTGTTCTCCTTGGTACTTATCAAACATGAATACCCAGTAGGTCTTGTTTTTATTTATTTATTTATTTTTATTTTTATTTTCTGAGACGGAATTCTCGCTCTGCCGCCCAGGTGGAGTGCAATGGTGCAATCTCGGCTCACTGCAATCTCTGTCTCCTAGGTTCAAGCAATTCTCCTGCCTCAGCCTGCCGAGTAGCTGGGATTACAAGCGCTCACCACCACGCCCGGCTAATTTTCTGTATTTTTAGTAGAGACAGGGTTTCACCATGTTCGCCAGGCTAGTCTTGAACTCCTGACCTCAAGTGATCTGCCCACCTTGATCTCCCAAAGTGCTGGGATTACAGGCATGAGCACCACGCCCGGCCGGTCTCCCTTTTAAATATACCTTGCCTTCATCCTGTTTCCCTCTCTTTCCATTGCTGCCCGCTAAGTCTAAGCCCCCATTACCTCTTGCCAGGCCCATTGCAATAGCTTCCTAACTACTCTCTGGTCCTGTCATTCTTCTGCTTAAAACTTTGGTTGGTTTCCAAAGAGTAGATAAGACCCTGCTCCACTCCCGCCTCCCTCTTGAGCTCACCTTGTATCACTCTCCCCCTTACTATAGTCTTTCAAGTCCTCGAACCTGCTGTTTTCCTCCTCGCTTCAAGGACTTTGTCATGCCTCCCAACCTGTCTGGCATTCTCTGTTCACATCTCTCCCTATTGTTAATTCCAAAGAATCCCTGTGGTCTCTGAATAGTGCTGGCCCATCCTAAGTGCCATGTAAGTGTCGGCTGTTGTGATTTTTACTGTTATCATCTCAGCCCAAATGTCACCATCCCAGGTCAGGTCATCCTGTGATTCCCCTTCACAGCAATCGCACAGCCATAGTTCAGTCATCAACTACCCTTATTTGTTTCCCAGACACTGCTTCCTTGAGACTCCAGGGGACCTCCAGGACAAAGACTGAGTCAGTCTTGTTCAATTCTGTATATCCCCAGTGGATGTCAGACTATATTTGAAAGCACTCAATACGTTGAATGCTGCTGAGTAAACGCTTACGTCTATATACATGTATCAACTCTAATGTCCAGTGGTACCTTCAACCCCACTTCCATGTTGGGCATGTTCAGATGAGGAAACTGAAGGTCAGGGGGTCATAAGTGACTCCATGCGTCTGTGGCTCATGAGAACATAAACTCCCAATCCTGAGGCCTTAGCGTGGTGCTCTGGCCTGTGCTTCTGGTTCTACTGGCTGGGTGAACAGTTACTTCTGCTACTTCCCGTTCAAAATTGGTCAACATATATATTTTTCAGTGGCAGGAAGTCTTGCCCGAGGTGGGAATGTTACTGGGTTAATATCTGGGGGAAAGAGAAATATTTTTCCCTTTGTTAGCTGGCTCTGGGCAGCCTGAAAACTCTTGATCCTCTCTGTCTGCTGCTTGGGACATAATGACCTGCTTTCAATCCCTTTCAATTACAGGATTTCTGATAGGAATTTGGAAAACAACCTAAATCCCAAAGCTTGGATGGTAGCCCATGCTTCATTCCACGTCTCTGTACCCAGTTTTTCAAAGAGATTTTTTTTTTTCACCTGCTCCTCAGGCAGAGCCTTGTCCTCCACCACTCCCATTCCTCCCAAATTCCCTGCCTGGGGCTGTCCAGCCACGCTTCTTGATTTTCTCGCTGGATGGAAGCCTCCTTTTGCCTCCCATGCTGGGCTGTGTTTTTCGGTGCTGGTGGTTGTCCTGAAGCAGTCCTCAGCGGGTAAAATACTTGGGCTGGTGTCTAGGGAGAGGCAGCCGTAGGCAGGGGCCTGGGGGTGAGCAAAGCCAGGTTTGAATGCTTGCTCTTCCTTGTGTTAGCACTGGGGCCTTGGGCAACCGACCTAAGACCCCAAGCCTCAATTTCTTTAATTGCAAAATGGGAATAATCATATGTATCTTTGGGATTTGTGGTGGAAACACACAGCACATAATAGGCAATCTAAAAAATCATTTCTTTTCTCATCTAACTTTTGGTACAACTAGGGGTAGTGGGGGTAGCAGGTACATTGAAGACTACAGTGATGGCTTAGGGAAGGGAGCATCTCTGCGGAGATTGGGCAGCTGAAAAGTCTAGTCTAGGGCAGAGACTACAGCAGTCTATGCCCTCGCTGCATGTCAGAATGAGTGGAAAGTGAGGAGTGGAAAATGAATGACTTCTGGACATTGGAGCCAGACAGACCTGGTTTGAATCCCAGTTTTGCCACCTAATGGCCGGGTGACTGTGGAGGATTCAACTGCTCTGAGCCTTCGTTGCTGCATCTGTAAAACAGGGACTCCCGTGTCACGGGGTACCATGAGAATTGGAGTAAGATACAGGAAGCCATTTATTCTGCCCAGTGACCTTTACTCTGTGATCTTCTCCTGCTCTAAAGGAATGGGGATACTCTGGCCCTGAGTTTGCTCCAGGGCGTCTCCTGGGGAGGCACAAATAGGAACTGGAATTCTTACCTGCTTTCTTTGTTTCCTAAATGACAAAAGTTACAGCAGCTTCTCTTTATTGGGCACCGAGTGTTCTTAGTGTTTTTTAATAGTGAGGAGACTAGAGCCCAGAGACCGTGGCTTGTCCAAGGTCACCAAGAGGGTCGAGGAGAGAGCTGGATTGTCTGGTCCTCATTATGGACTGAATGTTTATGCCCTCTCAATAGTCATGCATTTAAGTCCCAGATCCTAATGTGATGGTGTTAGGAGATGGGGCCTTTGGGAAGTGATTCGTCATCAGGGCAGAGTTTTTCATGAATGGGTTCTCAGTGCCCTTATAAAAGAGGCCCAAGAGGCCAGGTGTGGTGGCTCAGCCTGTAATCCCAGCATTTTGGGAAGCCGAGGCAGGAGGATTACCTGAGGTCAGGAGTTTGAGACCAGCCTGGCCAACATGGTCAAACCCCGTCTCTACTAAAAATACAAAAATTAGCCGGGCATGGTGGTGGGTGCCTGTAATCCCAGCTACTTGGGAGGCTGAGGCAGAAGAATCACTTAAACCTGGGAGGTGGAGGTTGCAGTTAGCTGAGATCGTGCCACTGCACTCCAGTCTGGCCAACAGAGCGAGACTGTCTCAAAAAAAGGAAAAAGGCCCAAGAGAGATCCATCTCCCCTTCTACCCTGTGGAGATACAGCTAGAAGGTGCCATCTATGAACCAATAAACAAACCCTCACAAGACACTGGATCTGCTAGTGCCTTGACCTTGGACTTCCCAGCCTCCAGAATGATGAGAAATACATTTGTTGTTTCAGCCTCCCAGTCTATGGTATTTTTGTGATAGCAGCAGAAATGGATTAAGACACTCACAAAGCACATACTCTTTCTCCACACCAACCTCCTCTCTGACTCTCTTCTCACCACTGTGAGCCTGGATTCCTGAGGCTCGGATGGACCTGAGCCAGCTGTTATGGCCTTATTTGGATGGGGTCACTCTCATGGGAGCAGCAGTTTCATCCCCTTTCCCTGTGCTCAGGAGCTCCTTCCACATCTCAATGCCCCCAGTTTACTAACTGCACTGTCCCCAGCATGTCAGGCAGGCGATATCAGGAGGTGGTAGTGGTGGGAATTCTCCACCTTCCCTGCATCCCTCCACCAGGTGGGAGCTGTGGCAGGAAGAAAGGCTGATCAGGTGCTCCCAGGAAGACAGGGAGGAAGAAGCTAAAGATGATCAAGGAAGGATACCAGGGGACAGTTCTGATTCTAGGGCAGAGACAAATTTACCTTCATTTCTTCTGCCCACATGGGAAGCGAGGGCTCATGAGCCTGCCCCCTGCAAATGGGAGAGAGAGGTCCATAAGCATCACACTCCAGAGGCAGAGGCTGGACTGGTAGGAAAGAGGAGGTGGCAGTGAATTTGAGCCCCACAGGATGGGGAGGCTGTGGGCTCAGGCTGCTGGGAAAGCCAAAATGTGATGAAGAGAGAGCTTGGGGTGACACATTTGTGGAATAAGCCCCTCCTTTAAAGCTTGGTTTCTCAGTCCATGCTTGCCTCCCTTTTTTCTCTCCTACAGAACGTCACTCCTCTTCATTCCCCTCCCACTCCTGCAGTCTCACAGAAACTGACCAGTGGCCTTGCTGGGCGCCCCGGTTCCTTCACCCATACCCTGGGCTCTGTGGAACATCAACACAGCTTGATTCAAAATCAGGAAGAAGACTACTGCCAGGACAGCGCTGTGCTTGTCATATTGGCCAACAGGATGCCACCCATGAAGACTGAGCAAGAGGCAGCTGGTCACCCTCTTGAGCTCCTGGTTAGTTGTAAGAGAGAACTTCCCTTAGCAGGTGGATCTGGGAAGGAGTAGCCAGGGACATGGGCTGCCTTTACTTTTCTGGGGAACTTTTAAAAACAAGCCATATATTTGTGTGTCTGGCAGGATTTAGGTAAGGTCTTGCCTAACAGAAGAGAAATAGATGTTTGCCTTCCCGGAAAGTATGGTTACTTCTACATCCACCCGCCCATAATCTCAGGGCATTTCAGTGAATCAGATGAGGGTGAAGACTGGGATTGGGAGACTTTGCAGGGGGTACTCCAGATCAGAGGAGAATGAGAGCAAAGTAGTTATGGGGGAGAAACGCTTGGCTAAGCTGCCTTCAGAATCTTGTGAGCCGGCTTAGTTCTGGGGGTGGTGGCGGGGAGAGAAAAAGCCAAGTATAAGTGAGGCATGGGGCAGAGAGAGAGGGGCAAACAGGAAGAAATGCAGCCACCTGCTAAGATACCCACCAATAAGGGCAGAGTCTAGAAGACACCTGTAGGCCCTCACCACATTCTCTGAAAACTGTCTGTCACCTCCATCCATGGAATGAGCTCCTGGGGTGAAAGTTTATTTTCCCTGGTAGGAAATACACTGGTAGCAGGTGGGACCAGGGTTGGACCCTGGAGTCATGCAGGCCAATCAGATCACCTCTCTTGAAGATTTGCAACAAAAACAAGAAAACAACTGGGGTAATTGGTAGCCTTGCAGGAAAAAGTGATGTTACTCTAGAGCTGCTGTGGTCATTGTTTTTTTTTTGTTTGCTTTTGTTTGTCATTGATACAAAAAAGAAAAGACAAAAAGACAAAAAAAAAAAAAAAAAAAAACAGGACGGTCTGCAAAGAGAGAAGAGAGTGCAGCAGACACACAGCTCAAAGAATCTTAATGCAACACATGAGCTAGTAGGTCCTTCAGTTTAGAAACTGCTGCAAACAACCACTGCCTGGTCCTGAGGATCTGAGACTCAGAGCAGCCTGGGAGGTGGGGAAGCCCTGGGAAGCCACCTCTGCATCCCCATCAGCCTGCTGGAGCTCAGAGGATGGCCAGCCTTTGGTCCTCTACCCAGAAATGACCTTTGCTTTATTCTGCATCATTTCTGACTCCAGCACAGCGTGTTTATTAGCATGCATTCAGGCCCTGGGACGAGCAGACTAAGCCTCCGACGCAGGCCACCAACACGCTCACTGTGGGCTCCAACCACCCTGGAGGCCTTGTCATTTGTGAAAGACCCATGTGCTTTTCTGTCTCCGCTGCTTCTGCTTTGTCTGCTTGATCTGAACCTCAAAAAATGACAGCCATTCTTTAAAGTTCAGCTCATGTGTCACTCGCTCTTCTGAAGCCTTTTCTAGCTTCCTCAGGCATAATTAGTCATAATTAGTTCCTCTCTCCCATCACTTCCCAAAGCCCTGTCTTTGTAGAGTCTCCATTATGGCATTTTTCATATTATATTATACACACTTGATATTTAAATTACATTTCAAAATACAGGTGTACTACATGTTTTCGGCATAAAGTGAAGAACAGAATCCCTCTCCTCCTCAAATCTTTCCAGCACCATTTCCCAAAGCTAATCACAATTAGCAATATATTTGGAGGGCTCCCAGAAATTTCTATGTATAAATAAGCATACATAAGGACGGCTGGATGTGCAGTAGCCCCCTTATCTGAGGGGGATACATTTCAAGACCACCAGTGGACTCCTGAAACCTCAGATAGTACTGAACCCTATATATATATATACTATGTTTTTCCAATTACATACATACATATGATGAAGTTTAATTTATAAATTAGGCACAGTAAGAGATTAACAGCAAGAACTAATAATAAAATAGAACGATTATAATAATATGTCAGTATCACTACCCTTGTGCTGTGCGGCCATGATGAAGTAAAATCAAGCCCCGTGACACCACCACTGTCGATCTGATAACAGATGGCTGCTAAGTGACTCACAGGCAGGTAGTGTAGAGAGCGTGGGTACAGTGGACAAAGCATGATGCATGTTTTTGGGAGAACAGAGCTGGACAGGACGAGATTTCGTCGTGCTACTCAGAACAATGTGCAACTGAAAATTTATGAATTGTTTATTTCTAGAATTTTTCATTTAATGTTTTTGAACTGAGATTGAGCTCTGGTAACTAAAAACTGGGAAAAGTAAAACCGTAGATAAGGGGAATTACCCTGTATAGGTAGTTGTTTGGCCTAAATCGGGTAATATAATATTATTTTTCTGTAGCTTGTTTTTTTTTTTTTTTTTTTTTTTGAGACTTGCTCTGTCACCCAGGCAGGAGTGCAGTGGCGCAATCTTGGCTCACTGCAATTCCAGCCTCCCGGGTTCAAATGATTCTCCTGCCTCAGCCACCTGAGTAGCTGGAATTACAGGTGTGAGCCACCATGCCCAGCTAATTTTTGTATTTTTAGTAGAGACGGCATCTCACCGTGATGGCCAGGCTGGTCTCGAACTCCTGACCTCAAGTAATCCAGCCTCCCAAAGTGCTGGGATTACAGGCATGAGCCACTGTGCCCGGCCTGTAACTTATACTTTTATTGAACATCTTTATTTTTGTAGAAATGTACATTCTGTTTCCATTAATGTTCTGTTGGATATATTTGGTTGAAATCTGTCATCTTATTTTATTCTCTTTTTTAAAATGAAATGTTTGTTTTCTACTTTTTGTTATATTTTTGAAGTTTCTGTTTTTTCCTTTGTTTTGTTTGTGAGCTATTTATTTATTTATTTATTTATTTTTAATGTTTTCTCTCTTTCTAATGATTTGGAAGGTTTATAGTCTGGTTTTCATTCTTGAACTGGTTACCATTATGCTTTAAATAGCATACTGAAACACCTATTTCTTGATTTACCAATTTTATTCTACATCCACAGACTCTCGACTATGAAAGATGTAGAAACTCGGGCAAGCATACCTTTCCCCATATCCCTTCCCCTGCCACATATAAGCCATTTCTTTTTATTCTCTAGTGGTTTAGGATATTTACCTTCTGTTCTCTAACCAGGAGCCCCTCAGCTGTTTAGCCTTAGTTTGGTATTTAAATGGATACAATGTTTACCATCAATGAATGCTTACTTTCTACAGCTTTTCTATTCCTAAATTGATAATATTGATACAGTTGATCCTGGAACAACACAGGGTTGAACTGTGTTCGTCCACTCATATGTGGATTTTTTCCAATAAAGATAGTTGGCCCTCCATGTCCCTTAGTTCTGCCTCCACAGCTGAAGGCAGTTGAAAAATATGGTATTCTCAGGATATGAAATCGTGTACAGGCAGGACCAACTTTTTGTATCCACGGGTTTCAAGGGGCCAACTGTAGGTGCTAAAGTATGCATGGATTTTGGTATGTGTGGGGATCCTAGAACCAATCCTCTATGGATACTGAGAAATGACTATATATTTTTGGGGGGACTAGATTTCATTATCAAGTTGTCCACCTCCTCTATTGAACTTATGAGTTCCATGCGCTATTTTCTCTGAGTCTGTGCTGGTGAATGTCTTTCAGCTACTTTATACATGAAAGTCAACCAGACTGGCTTTTAAATTTGAAATGTGTTTGTTACAATAGCTTCAGAATTTTGTACCTGTTCCTTTTGGCACTAAAGGATAAAGAGAAGTTGGAGGCCAGCTTTATTTTTCCTTCAGAATTTTGACTGAACATTCTCCGTCAAAGTTCTATGGTATATTAAGACCACTTTTAATTCTGTAGAGGCATTTCTTTAGTTCAGAAAAGTTTTCTTTTATAATATCTTTGAATATGTTTCTGTCTTATTGCTCTGTTCCTTTCTTTAGGAATGTCCAGCATGCATATTCATATTTCCTAAGTATTTTTCATTATTTTATTTCATTGTTTTTATTATTTCTCCTTTTCTTTCATTAAAAAACTCTTACTATGTTACTGACTCTATTATCAACTGAATAAATCCCACATTCTGCTGATGCTAATTTTCTCCTCTGTAATGGCTTTCATTATCATTTTCATTTTTTCATCCCATGTTAGATCTTGTCTGCTTGTTTGTAGTTTTACTTTGGAAACGTCTTGTTGTGTTCTGTTATTTTCTCAGGGATGGAGTCAAGCTGGGGCTACCAGCAGATTCCATTTGAGTTTGGTGTCTCAGAATTTATCAGATATGCTCTTCCCTGGGGACACATTTCCCCCAGGTTTTGAAGCATTCCCATGAGTATGAGGTCAGTGTGGGTCACCAGAAAGCCCCACAGATTCATGGGTCCTCTGACTGGCCATTTAATGTTTATGCATCTCTTCTGCTGACAAGCTGCAAGGCTGACTGCTGCTCCCTTTCTCTTCCACCTCACCTCTAAGACATTTAAGCAATGGAGGTCAGGGTTTGTACTACTGGCTATCCACATAGTGCCTTCCTATCCACAGCCCTGTCTCCCTTGCCCTTTGCCTTATAGAAATGAGTCACTACAGGGAACTTTACTCTTCTATGACTCACCTACCTCTCTTTTCCTTTTTTTTTCTCCAATAAATGATTATTTATTCAGCCTTTAGGGATCTTTTATCTTACTTTCAAGAAAATCTGGTAACATATAGGACTCCTCTTTTTGTCTTCCTCTGATGAAACCCAAACTTCACTGAATGTGGCAGATATGGGTTTTAGCCTGTTTTCTTTAGAGTAATATTAGCTTCTGTAACAACTGAACACACCTCCAAATTGCAATGGTTTAACATGTTATATATTCATTTCTCACTAGTGTAAGGGTCCAGTGCTGATGTTCCTGGTCAGCAGGTAGATGCCATATGGTGAGTCAGAGGACTGGGCTCCTTCTCTTTTGAGGGGTCTTGGAGTACCCTGAATTCTACTAGGGGAAGGGCAAAGAGAGAGAGTAGAGAAGGTGTTCCCATCTCTTGACCATGCTGGCCCAGAAGTGACATAGATCACATCTGTTCACATTCCAGCTTTGAGAACTCATCACATGGCTCAACTAAATGCAAAGGAGTGGCTGAGAAATGTGGTCCCTGCCTGGGCAATTGTTCCTTACCCACTCCTCTCTATTATGGAAAGACAGGAATGAACTGTGGTGAGCAGTTAATCATCTTAGCCCATAGCCATTTTCTAGTTGTATTGAAGATGGAATTTTCTGTTATATTTTCATTCTTTTTGTTGCTTTCAGTGGGTTTCAGAGAAGGGAGTACAGTAAACATCTTTTAACTTGTTTACAAGTATGTCTTTTCCACCCATCTGTGATCTCCTCTAAATGGGGACCATGACTTAACTTGTTTTCTATTTTCCAGCACCCAGCATGATGGCTGACACAGAGCAGATGCTTAATAAATGTTTCTTGGATGAAAAAATGAATGCATTCCTGTCCTGAGTGGGTGAAAACGGCTCTTCCCACCTTCCTTATTCTCAACTTACTCTTCCTATCCCCTCTCTCTCCTCTCTGTAGGAGAAAGGAGGAATTGTCAGGATGGCTCCATTCTTTTTTCTCTGTTTCCCCTTCTTATCATGGTTTGGCTCAAGGCTTGTGTCTCCTGTCTCCAGCATTGATTTACCTCTCCCCAGAATGAAATTTCATTCTAGCTTTGCCTGTGGTGCAGCCTGCTTCCTGCTGCCCAACCGTTTAACAATGTCCTCCTTGCAGCTTGGGGAAAGACACTGGGGAAAGAAAAATCTCTCTCTGTCCACAGAACCATAACTCACTGGTAAGGTAGCCAGCTGCCCTATCACTCCAGCTGGTGTTAAAAGTCATGGACATTAAGTGGGACTAGGATGTGGATCGAACATGTATGAAGGAGCCTGCCCAAGAGGAGACCCTCTCCTGCTTTAAATGCCCTGATCTAAGTGGGCCACTCTATTAAAATCCACCTACAGTGGCAAGTTACTTTTCTAAAATAGAGAGTCCTCAGGAGGAAACATCAACAGAAATGGAGTAGAATGAAGGAGCTCAGAGCATGATCACTGGAATCCAACAGACTTGTGTTTAAATCCTGCTCTGCCATTTACTGGCTGTATGACTTTGGACACATTATGTAAGCAATTTGAGCTTCAGTTTCTTCATTCATAACACTGAGATAATTATATCTATCCTGTTGGGTTGTTATGAGGATGAACTGAGTTCAATTCTAGGCATGTAAGAGGCATTCCATATTTTTTGAATGAATAAATGCCAAATGTACATAATGTAATGCCTGGCACGTTGATAAGCAATCCATATAAGATGGTTGTATCAGTAATGATAGGCTAGGTTGGCTAGGTTTACAAAAGTACCAAATTCCCCAAATCCCATGTCTTAAAACAAAGAAAGTCTATTCTTGATGATGCAATATGTTCACTGAGGGTCAGCTGGGGACTCTGCTTCAAGTCATCCTGAGGCTGATAGAACAGCCACCACCTGGAATGCTATCAGTCACTGTGCATTCACATTCACAGGCAACGTATATTTTTCTAGTTCTTGATTCCGAGTCTGGTCACTTGACTGACTCTGGCCAGTGGGATTTGAAGCAAATACAGACTTGAACAAGCACTCACACATTTCTGCTTGAACTTTGATACTCTGCCATCAGCATGAGAGCATGCCTGAGCTAGCCTGCTGGAGCAAGAGAGATGCACGGAGCAGAGCTGAGATGCCCAGTCCCCCGGGCCATTCTAAGTTAGTTGACATCTAGGTGGCCCCCAGCTACGTGAACAAGACCAGGCAAGATCAGAAGAGTCAACCCTAGCTGACCCCAGATTCATGAGCAATAAACACTTATTGTTTGTTGTATGTAGAGGTTTGGGGGTTGTTGGTTAAACACTATTATTGTGGCAATAGATAACTGATACACCCTGCCTTGGCTTCAAGTTCTGAAGTATATAGAACTCTGCACCTCTTCACATTCCTCAGAAAAAATTCACACAGTAGATTCTACTGACAACTTCAAGGTGGGGTCTGAAGGGGTTTGACATCACATATCTGCATGAATCTCTATTGATCATGGTTTTTCTCCCCCGTTTCTTTGGCTGAGATGCTAACCAGAGCTTCTCTATCACTCTTACCTTATCAGAATTGTGTACAAAGTTCTGCCAACTTATATCCACTCTATTCTCTACCTGTTCATCTCCCATAAAATCTCTTACCGTTTCTTTCACAGAACAATTCATCCTTGCCCCAGATGTGGAAGCCCCACATTCCAAACCCAAAAATGTGGCAAAGTGTTTTTTTTGCTGTTGTTGTTGTTTGAAGGACCTACCTCCTTAAAAGCTAGTGTTTTATAAATAATAACTCTTGTTTGTTTTTCTTCATCATTAGAAAGTCTGTAAAGGGCAATGATGGTGGATTATTAGTTCTGTTATCCTTAGTACCTAGCAAAGCTCCAGAATCATTTTAGGTAGTTAGTAAATGCAATTGGAAATACACATTGTTATTGAAAGAATTTTAGAGCATCTATATACCCTTAATATCACTCTTTGGTGATTAACTGAGAGCTAACTGTAGGAAGTAAATACTATTTATCTTCTCTGTACTTGAAGAAGATATGGGACATTAATTTCTGCAAGTACTCAGTGGCATGAGATGGAGGAGGGTAGATAATGTGTTCCAGGATGGGGGGGTGACACATCATCTTCATTTTATCTACCCAAGGTTGTGAGGCCCCAGTAGGTCATCCGTGTCCAAAGTTAGAAAGCCAATAAGAGATTGACCGGAGACAAACATCTGGACTTACTCTCCACTGAACCAGACATTCAGCCTTGGCGCTAGACGCTCTGAAACTTGGCCGGGCTTCCCACAGAGCTTGGCCCAGGGTCTCCAGTGGCTCCATTGAGCTTGGCGGAGCACATTGACAGAGTTGGCCCAGAAAGACTCCAGGACAACACCCAAACTCCACAGTGCCCCCACCATGGAGTACTTGTTTTGGGGGGCTTTACGTGATGGAGGGCAGGGTGTGGACAGCCCCTGGCATGTAGGCTGAAGTTGGTTCTGACAACCCAGACCTCCACATGGGCCGTTGGGCTCCCCTGAACCCTGCTGGGCTCAGTTCAGGAGAAATGCTCTTGCCAATGGGCAGGGAGGCTTAGCATTCCACCCCTGCTCTTTTAATCCCCTCTGTGCAGGAATGTTCCACTGCAGAGACAGCAGAGCTTGCAGAGACAGGAGGTGGTGCCAAAAGGGAGAGAGTGGTGGAGAAACAGTTTTGATGAGATTTAGGGTGGTGTGTGTGCAGGGATGGGGGTAGGTGCTGAGTTAGGCTCTACCATGGACTCACTGTGTGACCTTGACCAAGTCACATTGCTCTCGGGGCCCAATTTGTTTACCTTCAAAAGATGAGGATAGACAAAAAAGATACAAGATTCATTTCTGGATAAAGCTGTAAAATTCTAAAAGCTGTTTTACTTGTGAAGTCCAAAGTAAGATTCTGTTTTTCATCTACAGGGCCTCTCCTCTAGAGAGATTTGTATACAAGTGCATTTGTAGGAAACAGGGTGTCTGTCTTAATGGGAATATCAGAGTCTACCTCTCATCTCAGTTCTAGAATTTTAAGCACCTTGAGGCAAGGTCTATGACTCATACCGCCCAGGACATAGAATTCCTCTGAATGTAATAAATAGAAGAGCACTTTGAGGTCATCGAATCCAATCTTCTTAGTTTTAGATGGGGGATAATGGGACCAGAGAAGGGAAGTTGTTCTCTCAATATTATACAATGAATCTCAGGCCCGGAACTCAGGTTCTCTGCTCCTAGAACAAAGCTTGTTCCAACAATCGAAAATTTCTGCCTGAAATTTTGTATACGGTCTCTGAATTCCAAGGCTTTCAGATGCTTCCTCTTTTTAAAATAGGCTTGACTCCTCCCTCCTTTGGGCAACTTTCAGGTTAACTCAGGGATTGACTATGGAGACTATAAGAGTCTTAAGCTCATGTGAAGTCTGTGAAATTCCACAGGCTTAAAGTATCCCTTGGGAATCTGAGAGATTTTGCCCAAGTAGCCCAAGCCTTGGACAGCAGCCTCCCTGGAAGGGATGTGGCTCCTGCATTATCTGGTCCCAACTCCAGCTCCAGGATAGGATCTCTGAGCTGACATAATACGGCCCTATTGTAAACAAGGGAGGGTCATGACCCTCCACAAATGACTAACATGCTAATTTGAAAAGTCTGCCTGGACTAGAAAAACAAACAAGAACAATGAAATTTAAGGCAACATTTTAGACAACCAGGAGGCAAGGGGAAACTCAGAAACATGAAAAAAGGAGTCCCCAACAGCTATTGTCCCTTTCATAAACACTCACTAAGCACCGGTCACGTGCCAACCAATGCATCAGCCAACACAAGAGGAAAACACATCAAGCCAGCCCTCTAAGACCTCACAATTCTAGGGGATTAGACAAGCACTCATATGGCCAGTGCTTCTAGGCTGTAAATGAAAAATAGCTTTAAACACCATGTAATAGGAAGCAGCCTCAGCCCAGATTTCTGTATTGAACTTCAGACCAGCAGCCTGCCTAACATCAACCACTTGGATGTCTCATAGGTAACGCATCTTCAAAACAGATCTCATGGTTTTTCACCCCAAATTTCCACTGTTCTGTTAGAATAAGTGACACCATCATTTACTCAGTTGCTCATTCCAGAAATGGGAATCATCCTCGATAACTACTTCTCCCTCGTTAACTCCTCATATTCATTCAATCAATCCCTAAGTCCTATAAATTCTAAACATATTTTAAATATGCCCCATCTTAACTGCTGCTTCCCTGAAAGCAAGTCAACATGATCACTTTTCTCAACAGACTCAGAATTAGCCTTCTAGAATCCACTGTTGTTTCTAATCTGTTCTCTGCAGAGTAATAATAAGACTGATTTTTAAAGAAACACACACAGTTGATTGAGTCACACTCTTGCTTAAAAAGCTTCAATGAGGACTTGTGATTCCATCCATGAATAATTAGCTGTTACAGAAACTGCCCTCCCACTGATGCAATTACTTAACTGCTCATCAGAACAAAATCTAGTATTCTTGAAATACACACAACAAAATCCACCACCTAAGAACATAAAAATCACAATACCCAGCATCCAGTAAAAAATTACCAGGTATGTAAGAAAGCAGAAAAATATAACCCATAACCAGGAGAAAAATGAATCAACAGAATCAGATCAAGAAATTATAAGAAGGTTGAATTTGTAGACAAGGACCATTAAAAAGCTGCTATTAAGTCTTACAAATATGTCCAAGGATATAAAGAAAAACATGAAGCTGATGAAGAAAGAGGTTAAAGATGTAAAAGGATGCTCATAGAATTTATAGAGATAAAACATATAATATCTGAAATGAAAAATACATTTAAGTGAAATTAAATGCAAATTATATACTATAGAAGACAACTGAAGTTGAAGCTGTAGCAATAGAATCTACCCAATATAAAGCACAGAAAAACAAAACAAAACAAACAGTGCCGCAGTGAGCTGTGGAACAATAGCAAACAGTCTGACATTATGTGTTATTGGAATCCCAGAAGAAGAGAGGGGAGTACAGAAAAAATTATGAAAATATTAATGAAAAAAATGTTTCCAAACAATGGAAATTTTAAACCCAAGAAGCTCAATGAACCTGAAATAAGAAGAAAAAACACAAAGAAAACCATACTGAGGAACTTATTTTTGTGTGTGTGATTTAAGTATTTTCTTGATTTTCTTTCAGGAATAAATTCATGTATTTATTTTCAATATTTTGGTAACACATAATAGATATGGACAATGTAGACAGTAAACAACAAATCTAATTATTTACGTATTATCTTCTGAAGCGTAGAGACTTAGTGACAGGAATGTCTAATCCATTGTTGAGCTCATTGATTCCCAAGATAAAAATAAAGTAATAGAAGCATCGGCCAGGCGCTATGGCTCATGCCTGTAATCCCAGCACTTTGGGAGGCTGAGGCGGGTGGATCACGAGGTCAGGAGATCGAGACCATCCTGCCTAACATGGTAAAAACCTGTTTTTACTAAAAATACAAAAAAATTAGCCGGGCGTGGTGGCGGGTGCCTGTAGTCCCAGCTACTCGGGAGGCTGAGGCAGGAGAATGGTGTGAACCCGGGAGGCGGAGCTTGCAGTGAGCCGAGATCGCACTCCAGCCTGGGCCACAGAGTGAGACTCCGTCTCAAATAAATAAATAAATAGAAGCATCTAAATTAAGGTAGTTATTTTTCACCTATCTTGTCTGCACTATTTATCAGTGATTCTGAAACTAAGAGCCCTCAGACCTGAATTCTTTTCGTGTTACAAAAGATCTTCTGATATCCACTTAACATATGTTAACCTTTAGCATTTGACATTTATTAGTCATGGCTTTCAAATGAAGTACTTAATTAAAATCAAAGTGCCATTGTCTTTAGCAATCCTGAAAGAACTGGGTATGAATTAAAATTAGAAAAAAAAATGACAGTGGTTTTAAGAGTACCATAGTTCCTGTGTGAATATTGCAGTTGTTTGAAAAATTTTATAAAATATTCTTATTATCAAAATCGAATTTAAAGTTTAATGATGCAGTAAAGTTGAGACATTCACAAAGAAACTAGAATAATAACAGTAAAAATTTAGTCATAGCTAAGTGCAATCTAACCAAAATGTTCTGGTCAATTGGATTTCGTTGTGCTAAAGACTGACAAACTACACAAGTAATTAGAAATCAAATATTAGTGAGTGTCTAGATGCTGGGGTTAGTTAGAGGCATTTTATGCTGCCAGATATTTTTTAAAATCACTTCTTGGGTCTCCTTAAATCAGGGTAGATAAAATTATTGCAATTTTTATTTTCTTGAAAAAGTTATCACTAGACTATTTAATACATGTGATTTATACAGAATTTACTCTTTGCTCTTTTATTTTCCTTAAGAGGTAGACTTTGCTTTGGGTTCAAAATTAATAAATAAATTAGAGCAGTTAAATGGTCTAACAGTGACAATTCACTGGGAAAATTAAATCTGGTATTATACACACTCAGGATCTGTACATTTCTGACCCAATGGAGTTAAATAAAGAGTTTTGCCTGGCCGGGCGCGGTGGCTCATGCCTGTAATCCCAGCACTTTTAGAGGCCAAGGCTGGCGGATCATGAGGTCAGGAGACTGAGACCATCCTGGCCAACACGGTGAAACCCCGTCTCTACTAAGAATACAAAAATTAGCTTGGCGTGGTAGCGGATGCCTGTAGTCTCAGCTACTCGGGAGGCTGAGGCAGAAGAATGGCATGAACCCGGGAGGCGGAGCTTGCAGTGAGCCAAGATCATGCTACTGCACTCCAGCCTGGGTGACAGAGGGAGACTCCATCGCTTAAAAAAAAAAAAAAAAGAGAGAGAGAGTTTTGCCTATGTTCTAAGTCTCATCCAAAGGGGAAAAAGAGAAGAAAACTGATGGCAAAAGTCTTGAGGTGCTTTTCATAATGTCCTTAAATGCATCCCACCCAATGTAATTTCATCTAAACAAAATTTTCTAAAATCAATCTACTCATCAGGAGATTGGCTTTATTAGGAAAACTCATAGTCTATTTATTTCAAATGCATTTTTGATAAAAATCATTGAAATATTTTTGGTTGGAGGTACATAATTACACTTAACTAATGTAAAAAGCATACAACTTATGTACCTAAAATAAATATTTAAATTTTATTGTATTATTTCAGGGTAGAAATGGTAATTTTTGTATTATTAGAACTTATCCTTGAAACTGAAATTATATTGTAACTTTTTTTCTTTTAAGATAATTTTAAAAGACTTTTAGGTTCAGGGGTACATATGCAGGTTTGTTATATAGGTATACTCGTGTCACAGGGGTTTATGTACAGATTATTTTGTCACCCCAGTACTAAGCCTAGTACCTTATGTTTATTCCTTCTGATTTTTTTTCCCTCCTCTCACTCTCCTGGCTCAAACAGGCTCCAGTGTCTGTTGTCCCCCTTTGTGTTCATGTGTTCACATCCTTTAGCTCCCACTTATAAGTCAGAACATGTAGTATTTGGTTTTCTGTTCCTGCATTAGTTTGCTAAAGATAATGGCCTCCAGCTCCATCCATGTTCCTGCAAAGGACATGATCTCATTTTATTTTATGGTTACATAGTATTCCATGGTGTATATGTACATTTTCTTTATCCAGTCTACCACTGATGGGCATTTAGGTTGATTCCATCATATCTTTGCTATTATGAATAGTGCTGCAATGAACATATGCATGCACGTGTCTTTATGGTAGAACAATTTATATTCATTTGGGTATATACCCAATAATGGGATTGTGGGGTCAAATAATAGTTCTGGTTTTAGCTCTTTGAGGAATCATCACACTGCTTTCCACAGTGGTTGAACTAATTTATACACCCACCAACAGTGTATAAGTGTCCTGCACAACCTCACCAGCATCTGTTACTTTTTGACTTTTTAATAAAAGCCATTCTGACTGATGTCAGATGGTATCTCACTGTAGTCCTGATTTGCATGTCTCTAATGATCAGTGATGTTGAGCTTTTTTTACATGTTTGTTGGCTGTATGTATGTCTTCTTTTGAAAAGTATCTGCTCATGTCCTTTGCCCACTTTTTAATGGGTTGTCTGTTTTTCTTGCACATTTAAGTTCCTTATAGATGCTGGACATTAGACCTTTGTCAGGTGCATAGTTTGCAAATATTTTCTCCCACTCTGGAGGTTTTCTGTTTACTAGGCTGATGGTTTCTTTTGCTGTGCAGAAGCTCTTACGTTGAATTAGATCTCATTTGTCAATTTTTGCTTTTGTTGCAACTGCTTTTGGTGTCTTCATCATGAAATTTTTGCCAGTTCCTATGTCCAGAATGGTATTGCCTCCATTGTCTTCCAGGATTTTTATAGTTTTGGGTTTTACATTTTAAGTCTTTTATCCATCTTGAGTTAGTTTTTGTATATGGTGTAAGGAAGGGGTCCAGTTTCAATCTTCTACATATGGTTAGCCAGTTATCCCAGCACCATTTATTGAATAGGGAGTCCTTTCCCCATTGCTTGTTTTTGTTGACTTTATCAAAGATCAGATGGTTATAGGTGCATGACTTTATTTCTTGTCTCTCTATTTGATTACATTCGTCCACATGCCTATTTTTGTACCAGTACCATGCTGTTTTGGCTACTGTAGCCTTGTAGTATAGTTTGAAGTCAGGTAGTGTGATGCCTCCTGCTTTGTTCTTTTCGCTTAGGATTGCCTTGGCTATTCAGGCTCTTTTATGGTTCCATGTAAATTTTAAAATAGTTTTTTCTAGTTCTGTGAAGAATGTCATTGGTGGTTTGATAAAAATAGCATTGAATCTGTAAATTGCTTTGGGCAGTATGGCCACTTCAACAATATTGATTCTTCCAATCCATGAGCATGGAATATTTTTCTATTTGTTTGTGTCATCTCTGATCTCTTTGAGCAGTGTCTTGTAGTTCTCATTGTAGAGATCTGTCACCTCCCTGGTTAGCTGTATTCCTAGGTATTTTATTCACTTTGTGGCAATTGTGAATGGGACTGTGTTCCTGATTTGGCTCTCAGCTTGGCTGTTGTAGGTATATAAGAATGCTAGTGATTTTTGTACATTGATTTGTTTTCTATGCTGAAACTTTGCTGAAGTTGTTTATCAGCTTAAAGAGCTTTTGGGCTGAGACCATGGGGATTTTCTAGGTATAGAATCACATCAATGGCAAACAGGGATAGCTTGACTTCCTTTCTTCCTATTTGGATGTGCTTTATTTCTTTCTCTTGCCTGACTCTCTTGGCCAAGACTTCCAATACTATGTTAAATTGGAGTGGTGAGAGAGGACAACCTTGTCTTTTGCCGGTTTTCAAGGGGAACGTTTCCAGCTTTTGCCCATTCAGAATGATGTTGGCTGTGGATTTGTCATAGATGGCTCTTATTATTTTGAGGTATGTTCCTTCAATACCTACATACTGAGGAACTTTTAATTGAATTGCAGAAAACAGTGAAACAAAGAGGAATTTTTCAAAGCAGCCAGAAAAAAGCGACACCATAAGTACAGAGAAACAAAAACAAGAATGACAGCAGACTTCTCATCAGAAACTATGCAGGCCAGAAGATAATGGGATGGCGTATTTAAAGTGTTGATGCAGAAAATGCTAAAATTAGAATTCTGCACGCAACAAAAATATATTTGAACAATTAAGAAAAAATGAAGACTTTTACACATCTATAAAAGCCGAGATAATTCACTACCAGTAGATTTGCCCTAAAAGCAATGTTAACAGGAATTCTTCAGGCAGAAGTGGGGAGACCAAGGTGTAGAAAAAGGGAGACCATGGCAAAGAGACGGGGCAGCTGAGGGGCAGATGGGGGACCTGAGAAGGGAGACTCAGAAAGAATTAATTTGCAGCACACTGACTTTGATCTGACTGATTTAGAGCCTTTTGGTGCTGAGGCACCCTTTGCTCCCTGACCAGTCTCTTTCATATGTACCCCACTGTTTTCTTTTGCCTCTTTTCCTGTAGAGTCCTGAATGTTGTCCCAGGGCTGCTCCTTCTCCTTCTCTCTGTTCCCAAATTGCTCACCCCAACCCTACTCTCTCTTCACCTTCTTCCCTGGCCCCTGGAATTCCCTAGAGGGCAGGACATTTCTCTCTGCCTGCCCACCTCCCCTCCCCAAGAGACCATCTTCCTCCTATTGTCTCCTGTGTCAGCATACTCACATTTAAATGCTTGCTCACCCTTTAAGATGATGTCCTTCTATGACTTTTACTGTTTGCTGTCCTCCCTTCAGTATCTGTTGAATTTTTCTCATGTGCATACATTGCTTCAATCATATTAATGATAAAATAATGATGATATTGATAAAAACCCATGATGGGTAATGAATGAATGAGAGAACGCATAAAGACTCTCAGTCCCAGACTATCACAAATGATGCAAGCTTAGAGGATACATGAGCGGATGTGGACATGTTTCCTAGCCTCCTCTGGAGCCAAGGGCACTTGCCACACAAATAATAAGGGACTCATGTTAGTGTAAGTCAGAAAAACCCCAGGCCATATGGAGGAAACGTCAGTCATCTCTTTCACTCCTAGACCTCAACTTGTAGTCACTTGTGATTCTGAGAAGCATGGGCCTCAGCCTTTCTTTTCCCAAATGCTCTTTGCTTGGATACTCAGGGCCACTGTGAAAACACATTAGGTGCAGAGTGTCAGTCTCAAATGGACCAGGGTTTACTTTCAGCTCTGCCTCTTATTTGCCTGTGTACCTCCAGGTAAGTAAACTTTATCTTCCTGGGACTTGATTCCCTTTCCTGTGAACTGGGAATAATCCACCTCTTGAGGCATCTGGGAGGCCCAAATGAGATAATAAGTGGGAGTAACTGGCATGAAATGGAGATTTTTTCCCTTTTCCTATCTGTGTCAATTACCTCCAGGTGGTAATGGTTTGGCCTGCTGCCTCCTGATAGTCTTCTAGACAATGCCTTAAGCCCTGGTGCCACAACAGACCCATGGGGAAGGGGCTTGGAGGCACTCTGTCTCCTTTCCATAAGGGCTCCTGGGCTGTTCACTTCACCTGCCTAAGCCTCTGTCTCCTCAACTGCAAAATGGGCATCACTGTGCCACTTCATA
Source organism: Homo sapiens (assembly GCF_000001405.40). Lineage (NCBI taxonomy): Eukaryota > Metazoa > Chordata > Mammalia > Primates > Hominidae > Homo > Homo sapiens. Next base: position 32,707,914 of record NC_000022.11, read on the forward strand.
GGGCCAGTGTAAGAATTCAGAGGGAATTTTTGGGAAAACACTTTGTAATCTGCCAGTGCTCTGCAGCATAGATCAGAAACTAAGACTTAGAGCCCTTAGATGATCTGCTCAGGATCTCCCCATCTATGACATTACAGCTTAGCATTCACATCTGACAGTTGGATTATTAGTGCATATGAATAAGAGCCAATTACATATAATTGCTAATACTGTTTAGTAATAAAAAAAGCACTGTGACTAATGGAGTGTGTGATCTGCAGCAGGCAGTGGTGTGGCCACGTTGGGGGCTGTCACGGCAGTCTACACGGATGATGAAGAGTATTTATTACTGGCATTGTTTAGAAACGGTGGTGCGTGGGGATAATACAAAGCAGCTCAGATTTTAGTAAGCTTTATAATGGTTTTTAAATTATCTGCAGACAATGCAGCCCCTTCTTGCCTGCACTCCAGGCGGCCCATTCCCACCACGATGTAGTAGGCAGTTTCAGAACTTTCTCTAAGGCTCTGACAACCCCGTGCAGGAGGTGTACTTCTCTGCTGGTTTAAAAAAAGGAAACTGAGGTGCAGTTGAAGACATTTTTCCAAGGAAGACACAGTTTTAAAACCATCGTCTCTCCCTGCTGAGGCTTAGATGGTCTCCAGAAAAGCCTCAAGGGCCAGGGTCTTCAATGAGCCCTTTGGGGACCCTACCCGGTGGTTTGGGGAGAGAGGGCTGCCCCATTCATTTCACAGAAGCAGCTTGCCTGAGGCAGGAACTCTGGGGTCCCCTCTGGTCTTTATCACTCTTGCCTCCCTCTCCTCACCTTCACACCTTCTTCCAAGAGGAAGGCACCCAGGCCTCGACACAGCCAGAGAGCACACCTTAAAAACCTTTAAAAAGGAGCAAGATGCATGTGCTGTTGGTGAGCAGCTCAGTTACCCCTCACGGGGCCCTTGAGCCAGCCATTTCCTGGCGTGGGATGCATGATGACTCCGTGCGGAAGGACTTTTGCCGCAGGCTGCACAGCCCAGATGGAGCTGCTTTGGGGGCTGTGCACGGGCCTGGCATGGAAGAGAGAATCACTCGAGCCCTGCGGGGCAGTGATGGGAAGTGGGGCCAGCTCCTGTCTTGCAGCAGCAAGCAGAGGCTAAGAGCACAGAGGAGCTGAGGTCCCAGGGCAGCGTGGCTCTGGCCACACTGTGGTTGGGGCCAACAGGCCTTCTGGAAATGTCCCAGCTGTGGCTTTGTTCTGTGCCCGGGGGAAAATGACCTCTTGCAGGCCCTTCCAGGATGAGACAGACAACAATTTTCTAGATAATTCAGGCTCCAAAATCTCTCTCTGCCTTCATTCCAATGATTCAGGGTTGTTGTGGGAATTCTGAGGAACAACTTGAACGGCATCAAACCAAGAATAGGAACCAATGGCTCAAATGGCTGAATCCAGCACCAAATCCCAATATTAATTTTCTATAAACGTAATACAGATGAAATCAAAGTTGTTTTTGTTTTTAAACAAAACCAAACCCAAGTGGATCAGTTGGAACTTGCATCAAACCTCTGCGTGTCCTAAAATTAACAAACCAGAACAAAATTGGAAAATAGAAACTTTTTTGAGTGAAAACACCATTTCATCAGGTTTGTTGAACCAGGGTTTTTTTTACGCCCCTTTAAAAGATAGAAAAAATTCCAAATGTGAAAGTAATAATCTCAGTACAAAACATTCAGAAAAACCCAAACAGTTTAAAAAAGGAATATCACCTCCAATCCCACCAGTGGGATATTTCCAAAGCTTTTTCCTTTTTCTTTTTTTTTCCCCCACAACTCTTTTCAATGCATCTTTTTCTTTCCTTTTTACATAAATGGGATTGTTCTATAAAGGCTATCTTATCTTCTGCTTTAGTTCATTAAGACTGTCTCATGGAGAAGTTCCCTATCAATATCTAGAAAGCCAAGTTATTATTCTTAATGTTGAAAAAGTATTCCATTGGACATATGCTGGTTTATTTCACTAATCGGATTACTGTACAGGTAGTTATTTAGGTTACTTCCATTATTTTACTTTTACAAATAATGTTTCAGTGAATGGCTTTGCATATAAATCTTCATAACCTGGACTGATTATTTTGGATACATTACCCCAAAAAAGTGTTTCTAAGTCAAAGAATATGTATATATATATATGCACACACACACACACACACACACATGTGTGTGTGTATGTGTGTGTGTGTGTGTGTGTATTTACTTTTCATACATATTTCCAGATATGCCCTGATATGGTTTGGATCTGTGTCCCTGCCCAAATCTCATGTGAAATGTAATCCCCAGTGTCTAGGTGGGGCCTGGTGGGAGGTGATTGGATCATGGAGGTGGTTCCTCATGGTTTAACACCATCCACCTTGGAGCTGTTGTCAAGATAGTGAGTTCTTATGGGACCTGGTTGTTTAAAAGTGTGGGCTGGGTGCGGTGGCTCATGCCTGTAATTCCAGCAGTTTGGGAGGCCAAGGAGGGTGGATCACCTGAGGTCAGGAGTTCGAGACCAGCCTGGCCAACATGGTGAAACCCTGACTCTACTAAAAATACAAAAAAAGTAGCCAGGCGTGGTGGCACATGCCTGTAATCCCAGCTACTTGGGAGGCTGAGGCGGGAGAACTGCTTGAGCCTGGGAGGCAGAGGTTACAGTGAGTTGAGATTGTGCCACTGCACTCCAGCCTGGCTGACAGAGCGAGACTCTGTCTCAAAAAAAAAAAAAAAAGAAAGAAAGAAAAAGAAAGAAAGTGTAGCACTTCCTCCTCTCTCTTCCTTCTGCTCTGGCCATGTGAGACATCTGGCTTCCACTTTGCCTTCTGCCATGATTTTAAGTTTCCTGAGGCCTTCCGAGAAACCAAGCAGATGCCAGCATCATGCTTCCTGTACTGCCTGCAGAACCATGAGCCAATTAAACCTCTTTTCTTTATAAATTACTCCATTTCAGGTATTTCTTTATAGCAATGCAAGAATGAACTAATACACGCCCCCCATGAAAGATCATAACAATTTTCACTCCCACCATCAGCAGATGAACATCGCCCTTTCTCTATACCCTGCCTAACAGTGACATGCCGGAGATGCTCTTCACTCTTCTTCTCCTTCCACATCTCCAAAGGGAGCTGTCCTACCCACAGCTGTAGAGTGACTAATTGTCCCTGTTTGCCCAAGACTGAGGTGGGTCTTTGGACATGGGAATTTCAGTTTTCAAACCAGGAAACTCCTGGGCAAACTGGAATGGGTTGGTCACCCTACACAGCCCATAACAGCTGGGTGGCCAGGATTTTTTGAGTGCACATGCTCCAGTGCTGAGTTTTGCCTCAACTGATCGAACCAGGAGTGGATACCTGGCCCTAGGATGTCTAATGACTTGGCATGGGGAGACGATCTGAACCAATTGGATTCATTCTCTTGGGAATTTGTTTTGGGAACAAGAAAATAATTCATCAGTTAGCAGTGAGAAATAGGTCTGAAAGGTCATTAACTAAAGGGTGACCAATAAAGTTTAAACACCAGCCAAAGTGATGGGGGAGAAGAAGCTGAGGGTAAAGAAGAGGAGCTGTTTCTAAGCAAGAGACAGAGAGAGGGGCAAGCAGAGTAATTGTGTTGTGTTTATGGAGAAGAAAGATTCTTCAATGTTCCTGTCCATCCCAAGGCTCTCTTGCTGTCCTTCTCCAGATTCCTGTGCACCTGTACTCAAAATAACTGCCTATGCCTCTTCCTTCTTATCAACTTGCTACCACTGGAAGAAATCTCAATTCCTTGCAAGCCAAGAGGTCTATTCAACACTCCTGGGTATCATCCATCACTTTCACCCTTGCCAACCAATCTGATTGGCCAAAATGGACTTCTTACCTAATTTTGTTAGAATTTGCATTTCTTGAATAATACCAAGTTCAAACATCTTCTCGGAAATGCTTGCTTCCAGGAGTTGGTCTGTGGGCCAGGGGCAGGTGGAGAACGAGGTACAGGGCAAGACTCGCTGGATGGTTTGATCAGGTGTCTGATGCCCTCTTTTCTTAACCTCAGTTTGACAACCTGCCTCAGCTTTCCAGCACTGACTCTGGCCTGGTGACCTGAGGGTGGTCCTATGGGCCACAGCCCTACATCTTGGTCTTTCTGGCTTTTTAATCCCAGGCTAACAACCTCACGAAGATTAAACCCATCTCTGCTGCCGAGCAGGAAGAATTTCACCTTGACTCCTCAATTGAGGCTGCCTTTGTCCTTGGTCTTTCCCCTGCCACTTGTGCTCTTTAGTTTTCTCATGGCCACAGGCTCCTTATCATTTGGGTTTCAGCTCAAATATTAGCTCCTTTGAGAAGGCTACCCTGACTGTCTCAACTAATGTGGCTTCTGCTTCATGCACTCTTCCTAATATTGCTGTTTTATTTTCTGTATGGAACTTATCACTATTTCAAAGCATATGATTCATTTTCATTGTTTGCCTCCCCCACCAGATACAAGCTTCATGGGACGTGTCTAGGGTGTCCTGCTCACTGTATCCCCAGTGTGTAGGACAGTGCCTTGCAGGTGAGCTGCTACTGACTGCTTGACTGAGCTAATTAATTAATGACAGACAAAGAAAATTTGCTGCAGCAAAAGTGGCTTGGCCTCTTGTCATAATCAGCCCGAGCGGGGATAGCTCACAAGACCATGTGATTTGGGGTTCTGATGTATTTCCCAGAAACTCTGTTGTGGCATTTCTGCTTGAAACTTTCAGTGGCTCTCCACTGCAATTGAAATACCAGGGCTGGCAGGGCTTGACCTCTGTTCATCTGCTCAGTGCCCTCTCCTCCCCTTTGCCCCTTTCTCACTCAGCTTCAGACCCACTGGCATTCTTTGAGATCCTTGAGTCAAGAAGCTCTGTCTGTCTCTGAGCCTTTGCATGCACTATTCCCTCTGCCTGGAATGTGCGAATCCCTGTTTTATCTGCAGTCCAGAGAAACTTTCTGTGACCTTCATACCAAAGCTTCTTCCACTGGGCTTGGCCTCTATCACTTCCACTTGCTCACTTCCTTCATTGCACATGCTGTGATAGTTCCTTATTCATTTGCTTTTAGATTATGTGCCTCTCCCCATTCTCTTCCCCATGAATTTTAAGTGTCATGAGTGGAGACACTGTATTTTTTTTCCCTTTTTTGGTCTATCACTGTATCGTCAAACCCAGGACAGATGCTTGGTCATTATTTATTGAATGGATGGATGAATGAATGAGCTATTCTAAAATCAAAGCCAGCCACTGTAATAGGCCACCTCTAACATTTAACTGACTCATGGTTGATCATTCTGTATATTAAATTAATTCAGTTGCCAGAAAATGTCTGCATTCAGTCATCCTCAGGGGTACACCAGAAAGTTATAGGCTTAAGAATAAACACTGTAGGCTTTGTAGAAACTGTTTTATGGGCTTTAAGCTTCACCTACATTTTAAATTTTCTGCCCCTAGTTCCTCCGTGGTCAGGTACACTTTCAGAGGCTTGCTTTGCTTCTCATGCAAGCCTTCAGTGGGCTCCAGCATATTGCTGAAGATCATGTGGGTTCTGTCTTTGGGTCATTTTAACTATCCTTGCCTTGGTGGCCTGTGCCTCCATTCAGACTTGACAATATGTCCTAGAAAACAGATATCCCGGCTGGGCGCGGTGGCTCACGCCTGTAATCCCAGCACTTTGGGAGGCCGAGGCGGGCGGATCACAAGGTCAGGAGATCGAGACCATCCTGGCTAACACGGTGAAACCCCGTCTCTACTAAAAATACAAAAAAATTAGCTGGGCATGGTGGTGGGCGCCTGTAGTCCCAGCTACTCGGGAGGCTGAGGCAGGAGAATGGCGTGAACCCGGGAGGCAACGCTTGCAGTGAGCCGAGATTGTGCCAGTGCACTCCAGCCTAGGTGACAGAGCAAGACCCCGTCTCAAAAAAAAAAAAAAAAAGAAAACAGATATCCCAGGGAGCACCAAATCTGCATCAACACCAAAGGAAACCATGCCAAAGAAAATAAAATGCTACTGTACAAATCCCCTTGGAGTGACCTTCCCAGTAACCCAGTTATGTGTGACTACGAAGGAGGGAGGATTCTTTCCAGATGAGCTTGAGGAACACAGAAGGAACTATGTGGCTTGATTCTGTACACAGCTCAGGACAATGGTCTCCTTGCAAGGGGGAGCATCTTTTCCTGAATGCCTTTAGCTGATAAGGTTAGCTTTTCCATGGAAAAGTGGCCAAGCCTCAGTTGTCCAAAATGGGTTTGGATTTCAGCTGAAATCATATCTGTTTAGGCAGTGAGATCTGAAGGCCCCTCATGCTAAGTGGAAAGGGCATTGTACAGGAGCCAAGAGACCCAGACTCTAGTCTTATCCAGCAACTGACAGTTATGTGACTGTGGTCAGGTCACTTCCACTCTGTGGACCTCAGTTTCCCTATCTGTAAAATGGGAGTTTGTCTGGCTGGTCTCTAAGGACCCTTTCATAACAATTTCAGTGGTTCTCAACCCTGGCTGCAGGTTAGAATTGCCTTGGGGAGTGGGTAGAGCCAAGCCACCAGCATTTTTAAAAAATGCCCAAGAGATTCAGAAGTCTGGCATATTCTGGAATGCCAGCCCATAGCAGATGACAAGACTGAAGACTGTGGACCAGCTGAGACTTTCAGTAACTTTTCTTTTTTTTTTTTCTTGAAGTGTCTCTGGCAACTCTAGATAACTAGATTCTAAGTATAGCTCATGACCTGCATATGAGCTATTTAACAAACTCTTCTAAAATGATTACCTAAATCTTGTTGCGAATGCCACCCCACTAGACATTATAATCTCTGATTAAGATAGGCTTTGTGCTGCTACTTCCTGGCTGTATGAAATTGGAAAAATTCTTTGATCTTTTGTTTCCTCATTTACAAAATATGGGCACTATTTGTACCTCTTCTAGTGTTTCTGTGGGAATTACATGAGGCCAGGTATATAAAGCATCCAACATCATACTTAGCATATAGTAGATGCTCAATGAATGTAAGTTCTTCCCGCTCATCTCCCATGGTATTTAGTTTGGGTATCTTTGCATGGAACAACTTTCCCCGAAGTATGTTCTGCGGAGCGCTCCTTCCCCCAAGATGCTTCCCACAAGATAATAAAGGAATTTTATGATGAAATACATTAGGAAAACCTACATGCCACAGTCTCTTCTTGAAGTGGTATTCAGTAATGTGCTGGTAAGCCAGCTCTCTGAAAAAAACAAAAACAAAGCCTCAGATATGTAGCGTTTGCTTATTTTCATGGAATAAATACTATCACCCTGGCCAAGTCCAAATTACCAAATTTGTGTCACTGAACTATAAGAGCTGGTTCCAGCACACTACTAAAGTAATTGTTGGCATTTTCTAGTCTCTGGTATGTCCTGTAATAAATACAGCTGTTTATTTAGCTCAGTGTTTCCCAAATGTATGGAACCCTTTTGTCTCCTAATACCTCTTGACATCCTATGGCACTGGTGTTTCCTGAAACACACTTTGGGAATTGCTGATGTGAAATAACGTAAATATTTGTTCGTTTCTAAAAATTCATCAGCATGCTACCATTTTTAAAAAGTGAAAGATGGCTGGGCGCGGTGGCTCACGCCTGTAATCCCAGCACTTTGGGAGGCCGAGGTGGGTGGATCACAAGGTCAGGAATTCAAGACTAGCCTGGCCAAGATGGTGAAACCCCGTCTCTACTAAAAATACAAAATATTAGCCAAGCATGGTGGCGGGCGCCTGTAATCCCAGTTACTCGGGAGGCTGAGGCAGAGAATTGCTTGAACTCGGGAGGCAGAGGTTGCAGTGAGCCAAGATCGTGCCACTGCACTCCTGCCTGGGTGACAGAGCAAGACTCTGTCTCAAAAAAAAAAAAAAAAAAAAAAAGTGAAAGCATAGTCTGCACAATTAGGAGCAGTGTGCAAGGAAAGAAGTACAGAGGAGACATGAGACAGCACACACAAAGTGATTGGTGAACAACAGCTGTGCTGGAACCAAGTACTCCACGGAGGCTTTGATTGTCAGTGCAGAGAATGAGCCCAGAAAGAGCTAGGGAATCCTGGAGAGCCCTCTGGAGGAGGTGGCTGTCAGCTGAGCCTTAGAGCACTGGAGGGCTTGGGAGGTTTTGAAGAAGATCAAAGGAGAGAAAGGATGCTGCAAATGGGTAGAGCCCACACAAAGATGTGGATGGGACAATGAGGCTGTGTTTGGTGATCCTGCCCCAACCCCATCTGATTTCCTTCAGCGTTTTCCCTGAAGCAGTTGGTGTACCCATCTCCAAAGAGTAAAGTTCCCACTTGAGTACCTCATCCCTTCCTGTCTGTCTACTTGGACATGTGTCTGTGTGTGTCTTTCTGAAACTGGGCACATATCTCTGTGTATGTGTGCCTGTGTGTCATTCAGAGGGCTCCCCAGGCAACTAGGTATGTGGGTAGAACCACTGAGAACTTCAGTTTAATGTTCTTGGGTAGGAGAAGCTTCTGGAGCTCACCATGGAGCCTAAACTCCATAATGAAGGAGGAGGCCATTCCTCTGTCCAGCTGGCAAGTTTTGATGTTTACCCTAGGGCCCCATGTGGAGCTGAAGGTGGCCCCATCAAATAATAACATAGCTGTTATTTTTGTTTGTTTTTTTGAGACAGATTCTCACTCTGTCACCCAAGCTGAAGTGCAGTGGCATGATCTCGGCTCATTGCAACCTCTGCCTCCCAAGTTCAAGTCATCCTCCCATCTTAGCCTCTGGAGTGGCTGGAACTACAGGTGCACGACACCATACCCGGCTAATTTTTTGTGGAGACAGGGTTTTGCCATGTTGCCCAGGCTGGTCTCGAATTCCTGAGCTCAAGTAATCCACCCATCTCGGCCTTTCAAAGGGCTGGGATTACAGGTGTGAGCCAACACGCCCTCTCTGACCTTTTTTTTAAAGTGTGGTAACATACATAACAAAATTTACCATTTTAAGTATTTTTAAGTGTACCATTCAGTAGCATGAAATACAGGACACTCAGATTGCTGTACAACCATTACCACCATCCATCTCCAAAACTGTTTCATCTCCACAAACTGAAACTCTGTACCCAGTAAATACTAACTCCCCATTCACCTCTCCTATTATTACTTTTGACCACTCCTTGGGTCCTAGGCAGTCTTCTAAGAAACTTACATATATCAACTCATTTAGTCCTGTTATAACCCTGCAAGGTAACTATCTGCCCTTTACACATGAAGAAACTGAGGTTAAGCAGCTTGCTTGAGTCCACAGAGCTAGCAAGTAGCAGACCAGATTGAGAGCTCAGCTAGATCTGACCCCTGAGCCCACGATGCTATACTCCTGCCTGCTTCAGGGAAGTCTGAACTCACCTAAGATTCAGTAAGAAGAAAGACCCCTGTAAGGTCCCTTGAGTCTCCTGGGTAGATGAAGGCTGGAAGCCCTCAGTGTTTGGGGCCCAATATCTGACATCACCAATCTCTCCCATATCGGGTGAATGAGGCCCCAGCCATGGTGATCTGGGGTAGTCAGGTCACCCTGAGCAGTGAGGGCTGTGCATGTGGCTGGAATGGATGCTGCTTCTCTGAGTTGTCAGCCAGACATGTCCAGGAAGGAGTGGGGGACCAGGTCTGGCAGTCTCAGCCTCTGAGGTGGCTCTTTATTCTGGGGGTGGTGGTGGGGGTTATGGGTGATGTCAGACTTGGGCAAGCTGAGGGCTGGGGCCAGGAAGCGGCTGGCAAGACAAGCTCTTGGCAGAGATGGCTCACTCTGCACTTGAGAACAGCCATTGCTGAGCTGAATCCAGCTCTCAAGAGTGGTCAAGCTGAAGAGTGTGGAGAGAGGTGAAGGATTCTTGGCTGTGGAGTCAGACTGCTGGAGTCTGACTGACAAGGCCTGTCAAACGCCTTCCACTGCGGATCTGACTTGAAATGGGAGCTTTGGTCTCAGTTTCTGCATGGAGGCCTGGTATGGCCTCACCCCGTGGCGGCCTCATCTTAAACCTTTCTGTTTGTGCACGCAAGCATGCATGTATCCATGTGGGTTCAACAGGTTTAAGAATGAGGCTCTCTGTAGCTATTTCAGATCCAATCACGTCAAGCCCAGACAGAGATTTAAGGCGACTAGCTTGTGTTGTTTCCTGTCGAATTCCTTGGCCTTCTTGGAATAAGACTCATAAGGTTAGTTTACACAGCCAGGATGTCTTTCCCAGCTGGAGCAGGGTGGGGTGGAGATTGATTGGTGCTGTGCTACTCCCAGTCTGGCGAGTAGGCAGTTACTATGGAGGGGCCCAGGCTGGGGAGCTTACGGCCTTGCTTCCCATATTCTCCCACATCCCCTTCTAGGGCCCTCCCTGCTGCCTTGCCCTCTCCATCAGAATCACCCCAGATTCTGCTCCACCAAGTCCACCATGATCTCTGCTATGTCCACTGTGTGCTTTAAAGGAACACTTCTCTGACCTCAATGCTCTGCCAAGGGAAAGACTCCAAACTGCTTCTTTGAGCAAGGGGTGGTCACTGGTAGGACCCGAGGTGTGCCCCTGACCTGGAAGCAGCCAAGCATGCTATGAGACAAGTACTGTCTCATAGTCCTTTTTTCAAGGACTGAAAAAAAAAAAAAAGAAAAAAGAAAATGTAGAAAAGGCAATCCATATATTGGCATTCTTAGCCATAGACTGTAACAATTGATTTATATGTTCAAGGAAATAAATGAAAAAGATGGAAAATTTCCACATAGAAGTGAAACTGACCAAAAAAAAAAAATCAACCAGAAATTCCAGAACTGAATAATGAAATAACTCATTTTAAGTGTCCAAGAGATAGGTTTAACATAACTTTAGACACAAATGAAGACAGGATCAATGAACAGGAAGACAGAAAGATAAAATACATGTGTGACTGATCACACCCTTACAGGTCTCCCACAACTCCACATGACTTACCTACCGGCACCCAGCGTTCCTTTTAATATTATACTCTCCTGTCCCATTTCTCCTCTACATCCAACTTATTCTTTACCCACATAAGAATGACTACTCTCTGTTCCCAAACATGCTATGCATATTCTTGCTTTTATGTCCACTTCTTATTCCAGGAAGTCTTGACTTCCATTTTTATCTGGTCGACAGATCAGCCTCATCTTCCAAGGACCAGCTCAGACATCACCTTCTCTATGAAGCCTTCCTCAGGCTTTTCCTGGTTCTTCCCTCATCCCCTCTTTGAGGTCCTGGGGAGGAGGGGATCCTCTAAAACAGTTCTTAGCACCACATACTAAAATTACTCAATATGTCTATTTCTCTCCTAGAATAGGACTTCACCAACGGTAAGGTACATGTGTTATTCATCTTTTGCGTCTCAGTTCCTGGCATAATTCCTAGCATACAGTTAGTATTAAATATTATAAGGAAGAATGCAAGAACCAAACTCTTTTGGAGCCCACAGATAAGTATCTTACAACCTTTGATAAACGAATACTGGTGAAACTGTGATTTGGTGTTTAAAATCTCATTTGTCCATTTGTTCATTTTCCCCACCACTCCACCAGAATATAAGTTCCATGAAGATAGGGATTGTTTTGTGTGTGGCTGTTCTGTTCACCGTTGCATCCAAATGCCCAGCATATAGTAAATGTTCAAGAAATGAACACTCTAACACTTACTGAGGCTGGGCATGGTGGCTCACACTTGTAATCCCAGCACTTTGGGAGGCCAAGGTGGAAGGATCACTTGAGGCCAAGAGTTCAAGGCCAGTCTGAGCAACACAGTGAGACACCATCTCTCCAAAAAAACAAAAAAGAAACAAAGCCAGGTGTGGTGGCATGTTCCTGTAGTCCCAGCTACTCGGGAGGCTGAGGTGGGAGGATGGCTTTAGCCTAGGAGTTTGAGGTTATAGTGAGCTATGACTGCAGCCACTGCACTGGGTGACAGAGCAAGACTGTCTCAGAAAAAAACAAAAAAAGAGAGAGAGAGAAGAAAAGAAATATTTATTGAATGAGGGAAATAGTCTTTCTAACACCCTGGAGGGGAAGGGGGGACAAGGGGACAGCTGGCTACCCAATTTGGGCACTTTGAGTCTGCTGACAATTGGATCCCAGGAAGCAGGTAGATACCCAGAGCAGAGAGGAGAAGCTACAAACTTTGAAGAATAGCCTAGTAACTTAGCACACACTCTGGAATCTAGTCTTTTCAGTTTAAGCCCTGGTTTCAGCTATTTAAGGGCAATGGTAGTACCGGCCCCATGTGCTTTTTGTGAGGATACACTAAGATCTACAGCACAGAGCATGGGATATTGTACCCACTCTACTATTGGTTACCTTTTATTGTATTGTTTGAGTGTGAGTCCAACCTGGGTTTGTCTTCTGGTTTGGTCACAGATTGCTCTGTTGCGTCTAAGGCCTTTGGGCTCCAACCCCAACCTCAAACACCTACCCAGGGCTAGCAGTTTATGTGTCTCTTCTCATTTGACCCTCATTACATGCCATGAGGTTGATGTTATTGGTGCTGGTTACGGTGGAGGAAACAGATGCTCAGAAATGCCCAAGTGACTTGCCCATGTGAGAAGTATCAAAATTTTAAGGTAAGTCCTTTTTGCTATCCAAGGCCCATTGCCTCAGCCTGCCTTGCCCCGAATCACACTTGGCTGAACCAAGGCTAGAACCTAGGTCCTCAGGACCTCCAAATAGTGTTATTTTCACTGCCCAGTGAATAGCAGTGTTGGGATTCTCACTGATCACCACCACTGTGCTAACTGGCTGGAGGAAACTGAGGACCAGAGTCCATAAACCCGGCCTTGTGGCCTCAAAGCCCGTGGCCTTCCCACCCCACAGGTGGCACTTTGGCAGCTCTCAGTACAAGGAAACTGTTGTTATTATTATTAGGCATTGCCTGACTTGGCGCCCAGGCCTAAAAAGAACTCAGCATGATTGGAAGACCCAGAGCTCAGAAGCCCTCTCCCAAGGGCTCCTCTTAACTGCCAGTGGGGACATTGCTCTTGCCTCTACCCCCACCTCTCTGCAACTCCTTCCCCTGCCGTTGAAATAGCTCTGTGGCCCCAGAGAAAGGGGAGGAAACAGTCCCTTAGTACACACGTTCACATCCAGGTTCTTGGGGGCTTTCCTTTGCCTCCTGGGCTCTCAGAGCTGCAGCTGGAGCCAGACAATCTGTTTCTCATTAGCTGTACTTTTGCTGTGAAATGAAGTGCTCTTTGAACCTGTGGGAGCAGGAAACCCATTTACACCCTTGAGAAGACAGGGACGTCAGCTTTGCCAGCACATTCCTTCGGCTCCTTTTATCTCCTGGGTGGAGCTCCCGGTGGTGGGCAGGCAGCTGCTGCTGCCACCTCCCCTGGTGCAGCCATGGGTAAAGGTGGTCCATGGGGTGGGCACAGAGGAAAGAGGGGATCATGCCTCTCTCTCACTTGGGGTAAAAGAAGCACATTCTGACTGGAGTTATTTGCCCCCTTTCCCTGCCTCCATCTTGCTCCTGATAACTCCTCTGTCCCAGGTGTCTTCAATAAAACCCCCAGAAATCATCCATCCATCCATCCATCCATCCATCCCAAGGGCAACTTGTGGATCCAGAGATCCAGAAAATGTGAGAACAAAGAGAATCCTTTGATACAACCCATTTCATTCTCCTTTATTTTATCAATGGGCAAATTGAAGCCCAGAGAGTTAACTTGTTCCAGGACATAGCACACTTTTGAATTCATTTTACAACTATTTATTGAGTGCTTTTTATGTGCCAGATTCCCCCCAGCTCCCACTGGTGGTACAGTGTAAATATAGCTGTGAAAACATGCACTTTTCTCAGCCTTCATTATCATTCTAGTGAAGGGGGCAGATGGTAAACAACTGAACAATTAAGTAAACATGACAATGTCAGATGATAAATCGTCTGAGAAAACAACAGAAGTGTTGAGAAGAGTGAGTGGGAGCAGGGAATGCTTTAGATGGGGTGGTCAGGGAAGGCTTTCTGAGAAGGGGACATTTGAACTGGAACCTGACTGATGACAAAATGCTGGCTCCAGGAACATCTGAGGGTAAAGCCTTGCAGGCAGGGAAGTGGCTGGTGCTACACAGTCCTGTGGTAGGAAGGAGCTTGTTTAACTTGCTTAAGAAGCAGAGAGACCAGCATGGCAGGAGCAAATGAGCGAGAGGAAGAGCGGTGGAAGATGAGGCCAGACGGTTCAATGCATCTCGAAGGGTCTGGAGACCATGTAAAGAGCTTAGTCTTTGTCCATTTGGAAGCCATAGAGGGTTTTAAGCAGGGAGTTGATGAAGTATTTTCCCAAGCAGATGCCTTTGGTTGTGTCAAGGGGAGGCAGGGGACAACGTACCCACAGGGTGGTGAGTTGGGGTTGCCTAAGTAGACTAAATAAACAACGATGGTGGCTACCAGCACCTCTCCCTTGACCCTTGATGGTGTACCAAGGTGGAGAAAAGACAGCAGAGTCGGGAAAAAATTTGGAGATCGAATCAAAGAGTCCACATAATTTGCACATGGCTCGGATACAGGCTGTGAAGGAAAAAAGGTGAATGGAGGGTTTTAGGTTGAGCAACCTGGGTCATGCCCCTCACTGAGATAGAGAAGACCAAGGGAAGAGTAGATTTCAAGGGGGAAATCAAGAGTTCTGTTTGGGTGGATTAAATTGGAGATGTCTCTTACTCGGACAGTGCCAAGGAGTCAGGCGGATAGAAGTCTGGAATTGGTGGCCGAGGCCAGTTTCCCACGGGGCTCCACCCGTACCCAGATGCCTCACAGGGGTGGGGAGGAAGTGTTGGCTCTCACAGGGCCATCCACTCTGGACAGCTGACTCAAGGCTGCTAAGAAGTCACTGCCAGTCCCCCAAACCCTATCTCTAGGCTAGGAAGGTGGCTTTGGAGCTGTCAGCATTCCAGTTGGACCTTCCTTCTGGAGTCCCTCCCTAGTAAAAGCAGATCTAGCTAATAACCCCAGAACCGAGGGCGGGAGTAGGAGATGTGAAATATGGGAATAATAATAAAAGCCTATGTTACGAGACTGCTTGTCTTGGTCCCGAGCTTCTTCATAAATAATCTTCACCTCAAATTGCCTACACACTATGGCAGATCAACAACATGGGTTCAACTAGCTCCATTTCATTGATGAGAAAATGGAGGTTCCAAAGAATTGAGTGACTTTCCCAAGGTCACGCAGATGATGAATCCAAGACTCAAACCTGAGCCCTCTGAGATCACACCTACTGCGCCCTGCTCAATAGTAAGCCATCTGCCGCCAGAAAGGTCTTATTTTGAGAGAGCCAGCAGCAAGGGCTCTGGAGCCAGATCACCAGGGTTCAACTCCTGACTTGACCACTTGAAGGTAACGTGAGCATGGGCAAATTAGTCAACATCACTTGCTTCTGTTTCCCATCTATAAAATGGGGACAGGAAGAGTGTTCACTTCAGAGGATCAACATTTATAAAGTGCTTAGAACAGTGCAGGAAGGGCTATACATGTGTTGGCTACTACTGTGCTCATTACTTTCATATACACTAAACAGAGACGTGGGGACTGCCTAGAATCTGGAGAGAAGATCCAGCCCTCTCATGTAAGATATGGAGAAACTGAGGCCCAGATAAGGGAATGGAGGCAGCCTCTTAGACAAGTTGGGCCCAAGAATCTGGCTGGTGGAGGAACTCTCCCTATTCTCTGAAAGTCACCCCAAGCCAGACTATTTTCAGGAGATGAACTTCCAAGCTCGATATACCCTTAATTCATGTGGAATTTCAGCTCTGGGCTCGGCTCCCAGGAGGAGCCCCTCCACCCCTTTATGAAAATAGAGCGGAGTCATTCGGCAAAACCTCAAGCTAATGCTTTTAAGGAACTGGCAGGTTGAAACAGGAAACTGTTCTAAGTAGAAACCACAGAAACAGCACATGCTTGCCGCTGCCGGCTGCCGCCTGGATCCTTGCCGGAGGCCCCAGGGATAGGGGAGCTGTAGGCCGTGCCACGTGAGGGGGCCTCAGGAACCTAGCCCTGGTGCTGCTGACCGTACGTGGCCATGTGACAGCAAATGCCACGTCTTGTGGGCATATTTAAAGGTCAAAGCAAGGTGGGGTGGTAACCAACAGGCTACCAGCATTAGACACACAGAAAGCTAGTGTCGGAGCAAACCTGCTCCTTTCTATGCAAGCCCCTCATGTTGTATCTGTTAAAACTGAGGCCCAGAGAGGGGAAGAAACTAGTCCAAGTCATCCAGCAAGGAGTGGTGAAGCAGGATAGGAAATCTAGACTTTCTAGCACCTAAGCCAATGCTATTTAACAACAGTCAGTGCATTTCCTGCCTTCCATCCATTCACCTCTTCCAATATAGGGTACTTTTCTGTTTTGTTTTGTTTTGTTTTGTTTTGTTTTAGAGATAGGGTCTTGCTATGTTGCCCAGGGTGGCCTCAAACTCCTGGGCTCAAGTGAGCCTCCTACCTCAGCTTCCCATGTATCTGGGACTACAGAAGGGTAATTTTGTAAGAGCATAAATTCCAGGTCAGAAGACCAGAGTTCAACAAAGACTCTGCCTATTCCCAGCTGAGTGATCTTAGGCAAGTTACCTAACCTTTCTGTGCCTCAGTGTCTTCTTCTCCTTTTCCTGTTAATAAAATGAGGGACAGTAACATTACTTATCTAATAGGATTTCTGGAAGGATTCAGTGTGATAATCTATATGAACCTCTTCGTATAGTGTCTGACAAATAGTAAGAGCTCAATAAAGTTTTTATTTTTTTCATGTATTAAATGCCCAGTAAGTGACAGCCACATTGTCACAAAGAGATCAGTCAAGTGTCGGGGACAGAGAGAGTAAATTTTGACATGTCTAGAAATGGCGCAAGAGAGGGAAGGATGCCATTAGGACTCTGGCATCCTGAAAAACCTGGCCCCAGGGAGGAGAGGGCTGCTGAGAGGAGTAGGCCAAACACCTCTTCTGGGCCGAGCGCGGTGGCTCACGCCTGTAATCCCAGCACTTTGGGAGGCTGAGGTGGGCGGATCATGAGTTCAGGAGTTCAAGACCACCCTGGCCAACATGGTGAAATCCTGTCTCTACTAAAGATACAAAAAATTAGCCAAGTGTGGTGGTGCACACCTGTAATCCCAGCTACTTGGGAGACTGAGGCAGGATCGTTTGAATCTAGAAGGTGGAGGTTCCAGTGAGCCGAGATCGCGCCATTGCACTCCAGCCTGGGTGACAGGGTGAGACTTTGTCTCAAACAAAACAAAACAAACACAACACAACACAACACAACGCAACACAACACACCTCTTCTGTGCAGAGATGAGAACCCATGCCCAAGGGTTTCTTTCCACCACAGCAGGTTTTTTTTGCTACTTTGGAGGATGATCCCAGTAAAGCATGCCCTGGTTTCCTGGGAGTGGGGACACAATGCACAGGGTCATCCCCACTCCAGAGCTGGAATGCCAACTGAGGCCATAAAACAGGATTTAACTATTTCTTATGAAACTTGGCACAAACTTTTGCTTTCAGTCTTTAGAACAATTCCCCGTCCCTCCACTCCAAAGATGCCTATGTCCTAATTCCCAGAGCCAGTAAACAGATCACTTTGCATGCCAAAAGGGACTTTGCTGATGTGATGAAGTGAACGATCTTGAGATGGAGAGATTATCTTGCATTCTACGCGTGGGCTGATGGGTCCGTGAAATTAGGAGGCAGAAGAGTCAGAGTGAGAGGAGGAGATGTGATGACTGAGGCGGAGGTCAGAGTGACCTGAGGCAGGGGCCATGAGCCAAGGCATGCAGGCGGCCTCCAGAGCTGGAAAAGATCAGGAAACAGATCCTCCCCTAGATCCTCCAGAAAGAACCAGCCCTGCTGACCCAGTTTAGACTTCTGACGTCCAAACAGGAAGATCATAAATTTGTGTTGTTTTAAGCCACTAAGTGTATGGTCATTTGTTATAGCAGCCTCAGGAAGCAAATATGCTTAGTCAATATTTAGTCTGACGTTGGTCACTGTAGCTCTATTCTCCGCTATGTGTAGTTTGAGTCTTATTTTTTGCATAATCCCCAAAATACGTAAAAGCTCCCCTGAGCATGACATACAAGGCCCTGCTTGCTCTGGCTCCTTCCTGGTACATGCCTCCTTTTCATCTTTTTTATCCTAGGACAGGGTCTTGGAGAAAACAGGAATATGTAAGGTGTGCCATGTGAGGTCTAGTCTTCATATTTCCCATGAAATATTCAATAAAGTCTAGATAATAATAACTAGTAATCCAGTATAGATTTTTATTTTTTTTTTGAGATGAAGTCTCACTCTGTCACCAGGCTGGAGTGCAGTGGCACGATCTTGGCTCACTGCAACCTCCGCTTCCCGGGTTCAAGAGATTCTCTTGCCTCAGCTTCCCAAGTAGCTGGGATTATAGGCATACGCCACCACGCCCAGCTAATTTTTGTATTTTTGGTAGAGACAGGGTTTCACCATGTTGGCCAGGATGTTCTTGATCTCCTGACATCATGATCTGCCCGCCTTGGCCTCCCAAAGTGCTGGGATTACAGGTGTGAGCCACCACACTCGGCCCCAGTATAGATTCTTTTGGGGTACTCAGAGGGGATCCGAACTCTATATCCATATGGGCTTTACAGTGTCATGCCCACAAAATGTGGCATTGTGATCTGGCTGTTGATGACAACAGCTCTCGTCTCCTATCTCTGCCACTCCCTAGTGCATCTGAATCAGCCTTCATTTTCATGTATGAGAGCTCATGTTTTGCAAGGGGGAGGGTGCTGGGATATGACATGGGTTGGAGAAAAGAAGCTTGAACGGGACAAAATGGATCTGGACTTCCCTGGTCTCTTTGTCTGCATTACATCCTCAAAGGCCAGGAGGGCATTAGAGGAAAAACCTGAAGAAACTATTTAAGGGCAACGGTGACACTCTTGTTTCAGCTGAACTGGCCTCTTAAGTGGTTCCTCAGCCTCCATTCTTACTATCCCACAACCCATTCTCAACAAAGCACCCAGAAGATCTTCTACAGATAGAAGACAGAATCATTTGCAGTCCCTTCCCTGTCTAGAACCCTCCAATGCTTGCATTGAAACTGGAATGAAGTTTTTTTTTTTTTTTCCCCAACTGTTACTTTAAGTTCAGGGATACATGTGCAGGATATGCAGCTTCCTTACATACGTGGCCATGGTGGTTTGCTGCATGGATCATCCCATCACCTAGGTATTAAGCCCAGCATCCATTAGTTATTGTTCCTGCAGCTCTCCCTCCTCCCACCTCCACCCTCCTGCAAGGCTCAGTGTGTGTTGTTTCCCCCATGTGTCCTTGTGTTCTCATCATTCTGCCCCCACTTATACGTGAGAACATGCGTTATTTGGTTTTCTGTTCCTGCATTAGTTTGCTGAGGATAATGGCTTACAGCCCCATTCATGTCCCTGCAAAGGACATGATCTCATTCCTTTTAATTGCTGCATATTATTCCATGGTGTATATGTACCACATTTTCCTTATCCAGTCTACCATTGATGGGCATTTAGGTTGATTCCATGCCTTTGCCATTGTGAATAGTGCTTTGCTACTGTGAATAGTGCTGCATACACATATCTTTATAATAGAATGATTTATATTCCTTGGGGTATACACCCAGTAATGGGGTTGCTGGGTCAAATGGTATTTCTGCCTCCAGGTTTTTGAAGAATTGCCACACAATGGTTGAACTAATTTATGCTCCTACCAACGGTGTAAAAGTGTTCTTTTCTCCACAACCTCACCAGCATCTTTTGTTTTTTGACTTTTCAGTAATAGCCATTCTGAGTGGCGTGAGATGGCATCTCATTGTAGTTTGGATTTGCATTTCTCTAATGATCAGTGATGTTGAGCTTTTTTGTGTTTGTTGGCTGCATGTATGTCTTCTTTTAAGAAGTGTCTGTTCATGTCCTTTGCCCACTTTTTAATGGGGTTGTTCATTTTTCTCATAAATTTGTTTAAGTATCTTATAAATACTAGATGTTAGACCTTTGTCAGATGGATAGATTGCAAGAACTTTCTCCCATTCTGCAGGGAGATACCTGTATACCTACAACCATCCGATCTTTGATAAACCTGACCAAACAAGCAATGGGGAAAGGATTCCCTATTTAATAAGTGGTGCTGGGAGAACTGGCTAGCCATATGCAGAAAACTGAAACTGGACCCCTTCCTTACACCATACACAAAAATCAACTCAAGATGGATTAAAGACTTAAATGTAAAACCCAAAACTATAAAAACCCTAGAAGAAAATCTAGGCAATACCATTCAGGACATAGGCACTGACAAAGGTTTCATGATGAAGATGCGAAAAGCAATTGCAACAGAGGCAAACATTGACAAGTGAGATCTAATTAAACCAAAGAGCTTCTGCACAGCAAAGGAAACTATCATCAGGGTGAATGAAGTTTAATTGCCTATTTCTCCAGCTTCATCTCCCATCATGCTCCCCTGTGCTTCCTGTGCTCCGGCCATACCAGCTGCCTCTGGGCCCAGCCCACATCAGCTCCTTCCTGTCTTAGGGCTTGAGCTCTTGCTCCTCTTTTTAGCTGGAAAGCCCTCCCCTCCAGACCTCTGCATCTTGGTTACTTCACATGATTTGCATCTCGGCTCAAACATCAGTTTCTCAGAGAGGCTGACCTTGACCATGTATCTCAGTTTGGCTTCCTGCCAATCAGACACCGAAAGAGACTTGGTATAGGTGGATTATTTGCAAGGCAATCTCAGGGAGCACAAGAGGTTGGGGGAGTCATGAAAGTATGACACAGATGGGTGTGTTAACAGGATGTGTTACTGAGTTGGTTACCCTTGAGGGAAACTGAGACTCAGTCTTGTTGGAGACCCCTGAGGTATGGTGTGAAACATGCCTCCAAATTGTCCCACTAAGAGATAGAGGAGTTGAAGTATTTATCCAACAGGCTCTTGCCCTCATGGGTTGAAGGTTGCCCTGGGGGTGCGGTGGGTAGTCAGTCCCTGTGTGTGGGCAGAGCACACTCCTGTGGCACCAGAGAAAGTCTTCAGAAGGAGAAGAGGAGATGCAGGAAAGCAATGTCTGTCTGCATGCCTGGGAACTGACCACAGAAGGTGCCAGTGAGCTCAACGGTGGGCCCAGGATACGTGGGGTGGGGTTACCCCATCCTAACTAGTGCTTCTCCAGCCAGACAGTTTTATTTATTTTCTTTTTAGTTCTGAACTCTGTCTGAAGTTGTTTTACTCATTTATTCAGCTATCCATTTGTTAATTGTCTGTTCCCCCTACCCACAACTAGACGATCAGCTATACAAGAACAGGGACCTCTCATTCTAGGTCACCATCCTCTTTCCGGGCTTGAGAGCAGTGCATGGCACAAAGCAGATCCTCAATAAATATTAAACGAATGAGTGAGTGAATGAATGAATGTACTACTTCACGGTGTGGGGGCAAAAGCGTGATCCCGATTCAGTGGACAGTTGACTCCATGTGGATGATGGACATGGATAAGTTGCAGACAGAGCCAGTGGGAGAGGAAGAAGGGGGCTGATACCCACACATAATTACAGCTGGTCACCTGCTTTGTGGGCAGATGGGAGGCACCTTCAGGGGATCCTCCAAAGTAACTGGGAACTACAGTGATGGGGACTGAAGTCCCGCTACCACGCATTTAGAAACTTCCAAGCCAGCAGTCACTGTATTAGTAAGAGTACTGATGTTTGTACAAATACTTCCTCTTTTAATAAATTAGAGTGGGTTCAAGGTTACCCCCATAATGACATCACTCTCACTGACTTGCAATCTAATCTATTTTCTTGAGTGGGAGAGAAAAGGTTGAATTTACAGCATCCACTTGCTCAGCAGGCATGTGAAGTATGATCCATTTTCACTGTGCTTCACTAGGGCTTGTGTTGAAGGTCATTGGAATCCCTTCTCTTCCATTCACTTGCTGGGTGACCTTGGGCAAATGATGGTACCACTTTGACCCTCAGTTTCTTCTTTCTTCATCTACAAAATACGAGTGATAAAACTACCCTATAGGGGCTGTAGTAAACCTTAGTAGTACTTAATAGTGTGCCCTAAACATAGGCAGTCGTTCATAGATAATGACTGCTTTCTATAATACTACTACTAATGCTCACGAGATGGATGACAATGATAAAGGCTTAGATTTTCATGAGGGCAATGTGCAGACTCTAGACTATTTCCCTAGATAAGTAATAATAGCCCTTGAGATCAGAGCACATCAGCACTATAGAAGTCACCTAGTCTACCGCCCTTAGACAAGGACATTGGCTAAGACAAAGAATAACCATTGTAATGGTGGCTACCATTTACTAAATGCACACCTTGAATATATTTCATCCCATTGGCCTGACTAAACCTACTGTGAGGTGGCTGCATCAGACCATATAATGGTCGGGTACCATTAAGCATGTGCTTTAATTGGTTCCCATCACTTCGACACTCGGCTTACTGAGCAGCCACCTGGGTAAGCTCTGGCTTCCCATGTGCTTCTGCCTTTAGAATGGGCTAGACACTGCAGATTCCAGGATCTTCCCATTTCAGCTGATTTTCTCATCATGAATCAATAGACTGGTATTCTGATCTCCATTTGATTTCCTACATAACTTGATGGGAGAGGATGAGTTGACAGTGTGTTCAAGAGGATTCTGGTCTAAGTGTTACTTAAGGTTCTCATCTCACTTTTACAGACAATAATATTGTGAGTTTGCTTATCAAGTATCCCGACCTGAATGGTGTACTTCCTCAGGATTTGCTGAAAAATTCAGGTTCTGGCATCTCTTGAGGCACAGAAACTGTGAGGTAATAAGTGGGTGTTGTCTTGCAATGCTAAATTTGTGATAATTTGTTACAAAGCACA
Source organism: Homo sapiens (assembly GCF_000001405.40). Lineage (NCBI taxonomy): Eukaryota > Metazoa > Chordata > Mammalia > Primates > Hominidae > Homo > Homo sapiens. The sequence goes on from NC_000022.11 coordinate 32,730,750, forward strand.
CAGAACTAATACAGATCTCAAAGCCTTCCGTGTCTTACCTTTACCTACCCAACACATCACTTGCCACTCTCCCTTTTGCCATGTTTTGGTTTCTAGAGTGCCCTCTCTGGTTGCACATGCTGTATCTCTGCCTGGAGCACATCTGCCACCTCACCTGCAACATTCTGTCACCCTGTATGTGTCACCACAAACATCACTTTCCAGGATGGCCTTTCATGACCCCCTGGACAAGGCATGTCACCAGATTGCACGGTCCCAGAGTCCCTGTGCTTTTCTCTCCATGACACTCACCCCAGAGGTGATTGCTTGTCACCTGGCTGGCCTATGAGCTCCACAACAGCAGGACATATCTGCCTCATCCACCCAGGCATCCCTAGTGCTCAGCCCAGCTCCTGGCATACAGTAAGTGATCAATAAATGTATTTTCAGTGAAACAATGACTCCAATGCCACGCAGGGGAAAGAGTCTTGGGTTGAGAGTCAAGAGCTGCCCTTTGGTGTGTGATTTCAGTTCTCTGGCCATTACGGCTTCAGATGCCATGCCAGGACTGGGATTCAGGACACTTGGGGGTTGGGGGCATCTTTGCACCCAACTTTACTGGGTGACCTAGAAAAAGTAACTTTTTTTCTGACACCTCCAGCTCCACAATCTATAAATCTGGGATGAAGCTGCCAGCCGCTCTTTCTGGGGAAGCTGATGGAGGACAAGTGAGGTCATATCCAGGAAGTTCTCTGAAAGATACAGCTTCATAAAAGCCTACGATCAGGCTTTTAGATGCAAGATACAACCCAGGCTCTTGGCTTGGCCAGCAGTGATGTCAAGGCCAGTGGTGAGGTAACTACCAAGGCTGTGGGGCCTTGCCAGCAAGTGTCATGGGGTGTTGCTCCCCAGCCTGTAGCCCAAAGTCTGTCTTTATGTCTATAGTAGATGCAGGATCAAGACCAGGTATAGAGACTTGTGGGCTAAATCCTCCACGGTTAATGACAAAGCCCTTTACAAGGCTTCCAAATGTTTCTAAATATATCACCAAGAGGCAAGCAATCAGAGGCAGTAGCATGATGTAGTAGAGGCCATATGGTGTGATATTTAGAACTCAAGGCTCTGAAAGCAGGCCACCTACAATGGAAAACCAGCTTCACTGCTCAACTAGCTGTGAACCAACAATGTCTCTGGGCCTCAGGTTTCTCATGTGTAAAATAGGGATCAATTATAAGGCCTATGTGCAATGTTTTGAGGCGACTGAGAAAATGCATGCAAAGAGCTTAACATCGTGATCAGCACAGCAAAAAATGTTTAATGCATGCTCATTATTATTGCTTTTATTATTGTGTTGTTTTGTTTGTACTAAGTCCCTGTAGAGATGCAAGCACCTTCACTTGCTTAGTACTAATGGTGAACCTCTGTTTGGGAAGTATTCCCAATGAGATCTTATTCTCTCATTTGACAGTAAGGCAGGGACCCATTTGTGGCCAAATCATGGTCTTTCTCAAAGCTTCATCCCCAGCACTTAGGACAGTGCCCGACACACAGCAAGCCTGCTGAACCAATGGATTTAATCAGATCTACTCAAGAACTCTGGAGGCAGTGGTTGTTATTGGTGTAATTTTCCAAACGAAGAAGCAGAGTACCTTCACCATTATTGTGAAGTCAGATTCTCACCTGCTGAACTCCAAATCCAACCCTTTCCACTACCTTCAGCTTCCTGGTGACTCCCCACACTAACCTAGCTCAGCAAGATGGTGCAGGCAGCAGAGTGAAGTGGTAGGACCATGGGCTCTGGAGCCAGAAGGACAGGTTCAAATCCCAACTCCACTGCTTCCCAGCTCTGTGACCATGGATGAGTCATTCAATCTCCCTGGACATCGTAATTTCATCTGTAAAGTGAGGATTAACAGTGTCTACATATCCTATGAGGTAAATATTACTGCCTGCTTGACAGATGATGATGTTTCACACAGGTGAGCCCAGTCACTAAAGATCTTAAGGTTCCTGAAGGTGGGAACCATGTTCATTTACTTCACCAGACGTACTTAGAACTTACAGATGGAAACCATATTTACTGACCATCCACTAAGTTCCAGGCAATGCACTGGGGGTTTTACATATGCTGTTTCATTGAATCCTGCAATCAACTTTATAAAGCTATTTCCATAAGTCTTATATTATCCTTTGGAAAAAATCAAAACAAGACAAAAATCTGAGGTTCAGAGAGGTTAAAAAAATTGTCCAGGTCTTCACAGCTGATAAGTGATTCAAACTCAGGATAGTTAAACTTTAAAGTCATGTTCTTCTCCCCATGCCATGGTATCTTTCAATAAAGTCTGCCCCTGGAGCACTTGGAGAATTGGCTGATCCCTTTACACAGTGGCTGAGTGTGGGGGGCAAAGGCAATGGAAGGAAGAGGCTCCCAGATTTTCAACTCTTGAGAAGTCTAAATCTAATGCCACAAAGCGAAATTTGATTGAAGGGGATCACAGCAGCATCAGCATCGACAGAACTTTATCTTACCCAACCAGGATTTGTCAAGGGGTGGGGTGGAAAGAGGACAGCCATATCACACAATTATGATGATGCATAGATATTTCTTGGGCCTAAAATGCTGCTCAAGTCCTGAGGGGAACAGCATGAATACCTCATTGTACCCATGGAGGAGGAACTAACAAAGACGTCTTATCTTCCAGCTTCCTATTCCAGGATCAGAATTATCTCTGACATTCTGGGCTGTTGTGAGTTCTCCTCTGGCTGTCTGAGCCCAGGAGAGTGGTTCCTAGTAGCTGGCTCTTGGTTTCTATCTGATGTCTAACATGGCCGGCGCCTGGCGGAGCTCAGTCTTTGCCATATCTGTGGCCTCCTTAAGGCAACAGCCTTATCTTATTCATCTCTGTGTTCCAGTGTCTGGCAGAGGGGTTGGTGTGGAGCCCAAACTCACAAAATGCTGAACCAAGGCCCAAGAGTTTGGCCAAGTACAAATGGCTGAAAGTTCATGTGATGCTCTTGAAGCCCTCAGTGTAGACATCTCAGATGGGCCCAGCCAGGATGCTGACTGATAAGAGCTGGGGGGTGGGTTTTGAGGTAATGGGCAGTGGCCTTCATGAGGACACTCTGGACAAGGAGGGGCATTATAGGATCACAGCGCCACACTTAGTCAAAGCCTGGTGGAGAGGACAGAGATTTACACCAGGGAAACCAAGGACTGACAATTATTCAAAAGGACCAAAAGCCAGGCTGAGCCAAGCAAAGAGCCAAGACTCTAAAGGAGAGGCAATCTGAGCAAGAAAAGGTCCAGAACTAAACAGACTGTCTAGGGCCACTGCTGTCATGGTCTGTGGGTGTATTAAGCAGCTGAGTCTGCTGCTTTAAAGGGCCTGGGGTGGGTGGACAGAGGCAATCCCTCATCTGGTGTCTGAGTGTCAGCAGCTTGGAGGCCTCTTTGCATGTGGGAGCAATCGGAAAACTTCCTGAGCCCTGATTAGGCTGGTTAACAGTATGAGTGGATACACGCATGCAGGATATATCTTACAGGGTGTTCTTAGCCTATGGGGCCAACAACCTTATCCGCTCTATCATCTTAACCACCACCTTCATCTCCAGGTGCAGGGGGGAGAGAGTATGGGCAGCTGCTGTTTTGTACACATCCCCGGCTGCCCCAGCCTTCACGCATGTGACCCGAGGGATGGGGGCAGAGACACTGATCCAAGGTTAACCAGGTCTCTTCCCTGAGAACTTGGAATGGGTGATGGAGGAGCAGAGAAGAGGCAGGCAGGCAGACAGACAGACAGACAGACATCGCCCTGGGAGGATGGCCCTGTGATGGCTGCCATGCTTCCTGCTGCATGGATTTGGGAAGCAGCGGAACCCCATCTGCAGGGACAGAGAAGGATAAAGACGACACACAGAGTGGGGCTGAGATCCGAGATGAAGAGAAAGTCCTGACAGTGTTTGCTGATTCTAGGACATTCCTGGGTTTATTTGTGCCTCTGGATTCCACAGGACATTCCCCCTAGGTCTTGGGCTAAATCCTCATGGAACCATGCTTACACTGGTTTCTACTACCTGTTATCCAGGAGTCCTTCCTAATACCCTGTGTATCCCTCATGGCCTTTGACTCTCCCCAATTCAATGTTGCTTCTCAGGGTGGATACAGTCTTCGGCATCCATTCTATTCTCCTTCTAATGTGCCTACCTGTTTTGGAAGGATCACAAAAAGCTAAATCCACATACCTAGACTTTTTGGGAGCTAAGGCTCCAGGGGTGATTTAGGCTTCCCAATGAGGGGCAATTGCGCAGGATTTGGGGGTGGAAGTGAGAGGTGGTTACACTCCATCTGCCTCCACTGCCACCAATGGGTTCTTCTGTGGAAGTGTTTACTGAGATCCTCGTTTCTGGTCCCTGGCTCTGTGTGTGTTGAGGGGCAGGATACAAGGCTTTTGGCAGGCTCCTGGATCAGATGGAGTGGGATCAAGCCCCATATCTGCATTTCTAGCTGTGAGACTTTGGGTAAATAACTCATCTTCTCTGTGCCCTAATTTCCTCATCAGCAAGATGGGGATAGTGGTGGCACCTACATGACAGGGTAGCTGAGGTAATATATGTAAAGTGCTTAGGGAAGTACTTGGCACGTAGTAAATTCTCAATCAATGCTAGCTATTATTATTACTATCACTACTATTAGCAGATCAAGCCCACAATGTTGCGGTGGGAAGCAAAATAATTTGTACGAATGACCTAGTGCAGGCTGGAACATCATTCCTGTATTTGTTTGTTTGTTTTGTTTTTTGTTTGTTTGTTTGTTTGTTTTTTCCCCCAGCTTCCCTGCAAATCCAGCCCTGGAATTTGACGGCTCTGGAAATTCTGATTATCTAGAAGGGGATCTGTCTTAGTCCCAACATGACAGATCTTCAAGCATCACCATCAGCTGACTGCCCTGAGGCCTCCCACGCTGACTCCTGAAACACGGTCAGCAGCCCCTAGCAGCCAGAGAGGTCATTGGGTCTCCCAGCCCACAGGGAGGCTGGTGACATTTTCATCCTTTTATGAGCTAATATCTTGGGCTCCCACTCATGTCTGGGAACTTGAACCACTCCAGCCTGCACCCTTATGTTGGTTTGCTGACAAAGCAGAGAGCTTAAGCTGGCTGACCCGAGGGCAGAGAAAGGGACCAGGACTTGTGGAGGAAGAGGCCCAGAGGCAGGGGGATGGCAGCAAGGGGCTCCTGCCCAGGAAGCTCTATTTGGTGGGGAGAGGAGGGGGCCATGCCTGGCAGGATTTCCTAGAATCAGAGGTAGGCTCATGTAGTTCAACCCTCTCATTTTATTGTGTTTTTGTTTCTTAATTTTAAAATCGACTTTACTGGAGTATAATTTACATGCAATAAAGGCATCAGTTTTATGTGTTCAGATTTCACACATGAAATACTAATGGACTAATGGATACACATATGGGACCATGACCACAATCAAGAGATAGAACATTTCTAACATCCACGAAATTCCCTGATGCCCACTGTAGTCATCCCAGATCCCAGGCAATCTCTTATCTGTTTTCTGCCACTGTAGAGTAATTTTGTCTTTGCTAGAGTTTCATATAAAAGTGCAATTATGTGCAACTGGCTTGTTTTGCTCAGCATGAAGTTTTTGACACTCATCTATGTTGCTGCTTGTATCAACAGTTTGTCCTCTTTTGTTACTGCATAGTGTAGAGTACTTACCCCATTATTTTGATAATATTATCCAACATTGTGGATTCATGTCAGACAAACACAGTGTTAATGCTTTGTATAATTTTTTTTCTCTGGGTCCCCACAATGATCTTATGAGACCATAAATGGAAAAAACTGAGGCTCAGGAATGATAATATAATTGTCCCAAAACAGGCAATGGGCAAAAAAATTAAAACCTACATTTGAACCAAGACAATCTGAGTCCAGAATCTATGCCCTTAAGAATCATGCTGTACTGTCTCCTATTTTACAGACTGAGAAACAGAGACAGGAATGGAAACAATTTGACCAGCATTATATTGTATTGCAGCAGAATATTTTGAGAATCTAAGGGCTCAGATTCCTAGCATATCATGTGACTTCCTTTAAAACGGGCCTAAAGACCCCACCAACCCCTTCCTTACTTGCCTGAAGCCTGTGTATTCTTCAAATGCTCTCCTATTCTTTTTTCACTAAACATTTACCAGCTCAGGGCCAGGCATACCAGTAAGCAAGCAGACAGACCTCTCTGAACATAAATCAATGGGTCCAAAACACCAGCCACAGAAAAACAGAAAGGGGAGAATTGCAAACAACAGTTCAGAATTTTTGTGTGTGCTAAGTTCAAAATGTTCAGTGACGGTGTAGACCCAAAGGGCCAATTGGAGCTGAGCTCCCAATCCAACTAATTTTTATAGAACAGTCTTAATAGGTCAGCTCAGTCTTATAGACTGTCATATTTATCACCCAAACCTCAAAACAACCCATGAGGTTAGGTACTTGTATTCTCCTCATTTTGCTAAAAAGGAAACTGAGGGTTGGTGAAGCTAAGTGATGTGACTGAGCCATTCTTCTGGATCTTTTCTTTTCTTTTTTTTTTAATTATACTTTAAGTTTTAGGGTACATGTGCACAACGTGCAGGTTAGTTACATATGTATACATGTGCCATGTTGGTGTGCTGCACCCATTAACTCGTCATTTAACCTTAGGTATATCTCCTAATGCTATCCCTCCCCCTCCCCCAACCCCACAACAGGCCCCGGTGGGTGATGTTCCCCTTCCTGTGTCCATGTGTTCTCACTGTTCAATTCCCACCTATGAGTGAGAACATGAGGTGCTTGGTTTTTTGTCCTTGCGATAGTTTGCTGAGAATGATGGTTTCCAGCTTCATCCATGTCCATCTTTTCTATACATAGTCTCATTCTCAAATCCTTTTCAAAGGAGGTGAGGGAGCTATATCTATTCCTGTCCACCTAAATAATGGTTTCAGAGACGGTATTAACTACCATATCTCCCAGTGCTCCTCTCCACTTCCCATCCTCCCTAGAGATCAGGACCAGGACCCTGACTCATTCTGAGAAATGGACTATGAGCAAAGGGGTTGAGATGTCACTTCTGGGCAGGTCAGAGCTGATGTGCCTCCTCCACATTGCTCTGCTTTTCTGCCATGCTGATCATGGAGGCCATGCGCTCCAGAGGATGTGGTGGCCAGATGCAGGAGGACTGCCTGACCCGTATCAGATCTCACATTGTGACATCTTCTTGTGGTAAGCCACTGAGATTCCCAGGGTTTTTCTGTTGTAGCAACTAATTATCAATTATCCTGGTAGTAATACGGTCATCATAACCACAGCTACCACCACTTGTTTAACGTTGACCCCGTACCAAGCACTATGCTAAGCACTCCACATCTGCCAAGTCCTTACATTTTAGTCGCTTACCTGCACTTATCAGATGTGTGGTTTCAAGAGGGCTCTGGGTTTGTTAATAACATATGAGGGAAAGACTCTCTCTGGGAGGCAGGATTCTCAGCCCTAAGCGACTCTACTACCAGAGATAACACCTGCAGAGGCACAAGCCTGACAAATGCCTGTTCCCATGAGTGTGAACACGATGTCACTAAGTAGAATGCAGACTTACTTCATCAATGAGCAAGAAACACAGCGTTCAAAGAGGAAAAAGAAATTGACAGGTGGGATCCTTCCCTCTCCCCACTGGCAAATGCAAAGCGCCAAGATGAAGCTCCTGCTGCATGACTCTGAATTTGAAGAAAGTGCTTCCTGATATCTGATTTCCTGTAAAAATGAATCCCTTCCAGTTATTCCCTGTTGGCTTCCTGTTGTTCTTAGGAATGACATCCTGGGCTCCCACTTGAAGTTCACAGGCAGGGGTAGGTTTTGGTGGAGGGGATGTGTGAACCAAGTATTAATGCATGAGTAGGAATTTGCCAGCCAGAGAAGGGAAAACAGAACATTCCAGAATAAAAGAACAGCAGGCAAAGACATGGGATTATCAGAAGAGAGGAGTTAGCATTTTAAAAAATGATCATTAAAAGCTCAGTGTAGCTGAAACACAAAGTGTGTGACAGAGATCAGGCTGGAGACTTAGGTGGTGAGGGAGGCCCTCCTGGACCAGCAGAGTCTGGGACCTCCCAGGTGAGTGGGTCTAATCCTGCATTCAGGTAGGAGCCCACTCACCTGCAGATATAAGCTGAATATTCCAGCCTAACTTTTCTTATGTAATAAAGGTGATATTTTCTTTCCCATCTGCTCATTCTTTTTTCTTATTTCTTAATTGGTTTGAAATTTTGGCAGGAAAGAGGGGATGTTACTTATTGTGTCTGATATGGGTTTGGCTGTGTCCCAATCCAAATGTCATCTTGAATTATAGATCCCATAATTCCCATGTGTTGTGGAAGAGACCTGGTGGGAGATAATTGAATCACAGGGGGGGGGCGGTTTCCCCCATACTGTTCTCGTGATAGTAAATAAGTCTCATGAGATCTGATGATTTTAGAAGGGGTTTCCCCTTTCACTTGGCTCTCATTCTCTCTCTTGTCTGCCACCATGTAAGATGTGCCTTTTGCCTTCCGCCATGATTGTGAGGCCTCCCCAGCCACATGGAACTGTGAGTCCATTAAACCCCCCCTTTTTTTTTTTTTTATAAATTACCCAGTCTCGGGTATGTCTTTATCAGCAGTGTGAAAATGAAGTAATACAGTGTCCCTTCAAAGTCCCCAGCAGTGGCTACTACCTTCAACTCCATTTCACAGATGAGGAAACTGAGGCTCAGAGCACTGAAGTTACTTTAATCTGGTTGTATCCATTACTGATATCTACCTGGTCCACACAGGTGTGGCTGTACCAGCTGTTAAAATGTTCAGATATTGTGTGTTGGTTGAGAATTAGCTGCTTCCCTGATCCCCCACCTCCACCTCTACCCCATGATCCAAAAACCAAAAGGATAACATCAGGCACAGCAGGGGCTTTTTTACTGTGCTCCAAAGCTGTAATTGACTAGTTAGTTCCTGAACCATGTCATTTGTTAAATATTTTGAGTATTACCCCTAGTTACATGGCTGATGGATGCCAACATTAGTTTGAGCCCATGTGTAGCTGGCTCTAATGCCAGTGCTCTTTTCATGCTATGAGCCACGTCAAGCCCAGAACAAGTGAAGAATAGTCCTGCTGCACCCCCTACACATGTCGGACCACTATGAAGTCTCGGGTTCAACTTTGGAAGACATACATTGAGAAAGATGCTAAATCCCTGGAATTGTCCAGAGGAGAGTGACAGAGGTAAAGAATGACTTGAAACCACATCATATAAGGAAATGCTGGCAGCATTAGGGATGTTAACCTGGTGAAGAGAAGATTCAGGGGACCTGAGAACTGTCTTCTAATATTTGAAGGGCAGGTGTGTGAAGAGGGTTAGACTCAAAATGGAACTTGCACCAACAGGTGTAATTAGCAGCCAATTTGGTGCTTGTTCATTCACTAGATAAATACTTTCTGGACAACTGTTCTGTGCAGGTGCTAAACTGGGCCCGAGAGGTGCAATGTGGAACATGAATAAGGAGCTGCCACTCACTGGGGAGATGGGCACATCAACAGATGATTACAGCACAAAAATGAGAGGTGCTGGAGAAGCTTGGGGAATGGAACCCTGAAACCCTTTGAGGGAACTGGTCACGCTCTTGGAGAATAAGAGTTTTGATCAGAATCTTAGAGAATGTGTAGGAGATTGCCAATCAGAGAAGGGAAGAGAGATGGAACAGCATATGCAAAATAGCAGAGTTGTAAAAGGATGCACAACATTTAAAAACAGGTGAGACGCAGAGTGTGGCTGGAATACCAGACTTGGGGGCAGAAATGCAGCTGGAAATTGCAGATGTCTTAGGAGTTTGGACATAACCCTGGGGTCAATGAGGAAAGACTGAAAGTTAACTAACAGGGAAATGATCTGATTGGGATGCTTTTGCAGGCTCAGATTTGAGTTCAGTTCAAGAAGACCTTTTCTTGAATTACAGCCATTCAGAGATGAGGTGGGCTGCCCAGGAGGTGGTGAGCTCTCTGCCACTGGAGGCATTCGAGAAGAGATGGGAGGGCTATTTTGAAGGGATGTTAGCCAACAGATCCCAGTATCCAAAGAAGGATCAAATGAGGTGATCTTGATGGTCCATTCCAACCTTGGGCTTCTCTGAGAACTGAAAATCGCAGTCCCGTGGGGGCTGCAGGCAATGGGGACAAAAGAAGGTTTGAGGCACAGTAGGGTGGGCACTGTAGATAAATGTTACCATTTAGGCTTTGGCTTAATTTTATTTCCAGATGGCTGAGAAAAGGGAGACACTGGATCAGGGCATGAGGAACAGGTTCCAAATGTCTTCCCCCAAAACACTGGGAGATGCAGAGTTGACAATAATAGGCTGGTACTTACAGACATGAGCACTGTTCTTAGCATTTTACATTGGTCAACTCATTTAATCCACATGCAGCCACACACAGTAATATTATTATCTTTATTTTACAGACGAGGGAACTGAGGCACACAGAGGTAAGCAACTTGCCTAAGGTGCCAAAGCTGGGATTCAGACCCAAGCATTCTGGCTCTAGAGCCCAATTTTTTTTTTTTTTTTTTTTTTTTTTGAGACAGAGTCTTGCTCTGCCGCCCAGTCTGGAGTGCAGTGGCGTGATCTCAGCTCACTGCAAGCTCTGCCTCCTGGGTTCACACCATTCTCCTGCCTCAGCCTCCTGAGTAGCTGGGACTACAGGCGCCTGCCACCACGTCCGGCTAATTTTTTGTATTTTTAGTAGAGACGGGGTTTCACTGTGTTAGTCAGGATGGTCTCGATCTCCTGACCTCGTGATCCGCCTGCCTCGGCCTCCCAAAGTGCTGGGATTACATGCGTGAGCCATCGTGCTTGCCCTCTAAAGCCCAATTCTTAAACACGATACCATACCAATCTGTGCCTTTCCTCATAGGACAAGCTCTAAGAATTAGTAGAAACCTTTGTCAATAGCGAAATTAGTGGGAGACAGTGTTCACTTTATAGATCAGTTTCTCATAGGGTCTCTTTAACTAGTATCTTCCCAAACATCTATTATTAATCAGATTACAGTCAAATGTCCCAAGCCAAAGGGTTCCAAACTCTTCCTCTTAACTAAGATAAGGCAAAGAGGAAATTAGTTATTTGACCCAAGTATTTACCTTTCTAGTTTAACACTTTCCATTTTTCCAGACAGGAAGTTAAAGCACCAAGCCCTGGCCGGGCGCGGTGGCTCACACCTGTAATCCCAGCACTTTGGGAGCCCGAGGCAGGCGGATCACGAGGTCAGGAGATCGAGACCATCCTGGCTAACACGGTAAAACCCCACCTCTACTAAAAAAATACAAAAAAATTAGCCGGGCATGGTGGCGGGCGCCTGTAGTCCCAGCTACTCAGGAGGCTGAGGCAGGAGAATGGCCTGAACCCGGGAAGCGGAGCTGGCAGTGAGCCAAGATCGCACCACTGCACTCCAGCCTGAGTGACAGAGTCCATCTCAAAGTAAATAAATAAATAAATAAATAAGTAAATAAATACAAAATAAAGCACCAAGCCCTTAGTCACACAGCCCAGAATGACTCCTAGGTCTCAGCTTGGATTCTTATAGGATCTCATGGAAATCTCTGGAAAAGAAGAGAACAGGACAGAAGACCTGGCTCAACACAGAGCTTCAATACTCGCTGGCTTGGCAGTGGAGGCAAGGAAAAGAATGGTTGGGAGAGGATGGGAAATGAAGGGAGGATCTTACACCAAGGACACTGCTGTTTGAATACCTAGTCTCTGCCAGGCACAGACATGTTCTTTCTCACTCTATAGACAAGGAAACAGAGGATCAGAGTAGAAAAGCAATTCAGCCAAGGTCACCCAGTGAGGAAGCACATGAGCTGGGATGTGAATTTAGCTCTGCCTGAGTCCAAAGCCCATATTCTTTCCATTTTATCCTACAGCCTTCCCATTTCACCTCCTTGGCCTTGTTTTCTCCTCAGCAACCAGAAGTCCACGTTATTAACAACTTTCCCCATTGTGCATAGTATGCTTTAAAATATTCCGTCTTATCACGCCATTAATAGCAACACTAGCAACAAAAACAGCTCACACGAATAGCTATAAGGTCCCTGGAACTGTTCTAAGCCTTTTATAAGTATTAGCTCATTAAATCCTCACTAAGACCCTATCACGTATGATGCCCTCCGTTTATAGGGAAGAAATCAGAGAAAGTAAGTAACTTACCCAAAGTAACATGGTGAATTGTCCATTCAATAATAGTGAATAATAACAAATCAATGAAAACCTTGAAGTAATTGAAGACTGCTCCAATTACCAATCAAGTGATCAATATGAGATAATCAGCATTTTTTTAACACTAGCTATTTCAGTTACCCCCTGAGTGAGTATAAATGTATGATTCATATGTGGCTTTGGGAAATCTAGGAAGTTGCCAGTGGATGCCTAAGCCCTGGTGGGGAAGGGGGCGGCCTTGTGAGATGTCACAGTCATCTGATGCCTAGTATCCCAGCTCCAATTCTGAACATTCAATGTCTCACCAGCAGAACGGAAATAAAGGAACAACCCTTGGCTGGCTTCTGCAGACAATTCTGGGCCATCCTGGTGCCCCGAGCCAGCTAGTGGCCTAGAATCCCTTCTAACCAGGGGCAGTGGACACAGAGGAAGGAAAGAAAGGTTGGAGACAGAGGAGAGGGAGGGAGCATTAGGGAGAGAGAGAGGTGGAGGAGACGCTGAAGGCTGAGACAACCGTCCATGCTGCCTGCTGCCCACCTGCTTGGGAAGAGGTAAGTCTTGGGAAGAGGTAAGTTCTAGCAATTTCACCAGCCACTTGCCCACCTGAGCTAGATAGGGTGGGTGGTCAGTATCCTTGGGGCTCAGGTGACAGTTGTCTTTAGCTGCCTCTCCCCTTGGACTCTAATTTGCACAGATGAGCTTGAAGGCCCGCCTGGGAGGTCAACATCTCCTCCCTCTCCTGTTCCTTCCCTCCTGGAGACTGGGCGGCCTGAGGCAACTGCAGAAGGCAATGAGTTGGTCTTCCTGGGGTCCAAGCCTCCTTTTGGGGGCCTCTTTTTCATCTTGGTGGCAACTGTTTCCCTCCAGAGGCTACAGGTGTCATGGAAAACCCAGCTCTGGACTCAAACAGACCTAGGTTTGAATCCTGACTCATCACTACTACCTGCGTGATCTTGAGCAAATGAATTTTCAGAGAGAATAAGAGGTACCACACCAGCCGGGTGGAGGGATTATTCATGAGATGATGACCCCTTTCGTGCCCAGGCCACCCCTTGCTCTCACTCCCCCTTCTCAGTGCAAACCTACTGTAGAGAGTGGCTTGTACATCAGTGCCCTCAGGAGTTAAGAGCAGATGCTACCTTCTCTGCATTTTGATAGAGAACAAACAACTCTATGAACGTGTTTACCAGAAGTTTAAGCAAATCTCTTTCCCTCGTTGGGGACTCATTTTTCCCTTCAAAATGTGGAAATGGATGGCAGACCTAGATGATTCCAGAAATTATTCTGAGTCTGAGAGACTGGGCACTCCCAGGAGCCCAGTCCAAGCTAAATTGTAATAGACAAATCACCAACGGGAAGCGATCTATGAGAGCCGTTCCCTGTTATTCCAGCTCTACTCATTAATGCCTGCTTCTTACCTAACAGTATGCTGGGTATCGAGTGAGCTAACAGGCCGTGTAATAATAGCTAAATGTCACCATTCCTGAGGGCCTAGTGTGCTAAGAAATTCATCTATTTAATCTTCAGAACCCAATCCTCTCCTTATCTTCATTTCACAGGTTAATAAGTAAGAGACGGTCAAATGCAAATTTGGGTCTAGTGGACCCTCAAGTCCATGCTTTCACCCAACATGCTACTGTGAGTGTCTCTCTCTTACCGCAGGACTCTGTCAACCCGGAGAAGCAGCTCACTGTGTCGGTAAGGAGACAGGATGTTGGGCAGAAACCCCGCTGAGAACTAACACCACCACCACCACCACCAAGGGCAAGCTCAGGAACAATGATGGTGTGGGCGATTGCCCACGCAGCAGGGTGGTCTGACAAGAGGGCAGACCCAGGCAGAAAAGACACACAGAGACCGGCAGGGAGCAGAGAGAGGAGAGTGGGAGAGCCGGGGAGTCGGGCTTGTCCAGGAAGACTTTCTGGAAGGTGAAGGAAGGAAAGCAATGTTTACGGGGCACCCAGCACTCTGTGCTAGGCATTTCAGAGAAGTGATTTCATTTATCAAAATGTTAGGATGGCTCTGTGAGGGAAGAAACGGCACTCTTCTGACGGGTTAGGAATGATGGGCTGGGAAAGGGAATCAGTGGTGCAGAAGTTCACTGCTAGGAACCAGGAGGAGCCAGGATTTGAATCCAGCCAGCAGGGATGAGGGTCTCTCTCTCTCTAAACTCTGCGCTCCCAGCACCCAGCTTCCCATCCAGAGCAGATGGAGAGCCTGGACTTTTGCTTTCACTGATATTGGCTCCTGTTCCCCATGCACACCCTCAGCTCCCCCAGCTTAAGTGGGTTGTGAAGTCACCGCCTGTCTTTCCTGCCAGCTGCTTCAGCCTCAGGCCGCACATCTGGAGGGTGGGACTCCACCCGTCTTCAAACCAGATGTTCGGGGGTGGAGGGGGTGGATGGCGGACTGTCACTGACCAATGCCTCCTGTTTGTCTCTTCTCTGGTAATCCTCTTTCCTTTCTTGTCCAGGGAATGTGCAGCTTTGGGCAGGGGCCTTGTCAGATTCCCTCAGTAGCTTCCCCCTCCCACTGCTCCGGGAACTGGTGACTGGAAACTCGGAGAGGTCTGCAAGACGCAGCCACTGCACGGCCCTGGGTTAGTCACAGCAAAGGTATTTGGCACCTCCAAGTACCTGCAGAGCCTTCCTGGGAGGGGAAGGGGAAGAGAGGAGACAGAGGCAGAGAGAGAAACGGACACGTACACCCAGATAGAGAGCAGAGAAAAACACAGAGGTGGGGAGAGAATAAGAGGCAGAAGGGAGAAAAAAGCAATATGGAGAAAGAAACGCAGACAGGAATAGAGGCAGAAAGCCAGGAAGAGAGCGAGGAGGACAGAGGCAGGATCAAAAGGCAGGAAAGAGAAGACGCTCCAGCCAGCGTGGTGCCGACCAGTCATTCCTGCTGCTTAGAAGGCAATTTTATAAAAGAAAAGAGGAGAGGACAAGGAAACAGTTACTCCTAAGTAATGAAATTGACTTTCCAGTTTGAAGTTGGATGTTGACTCAGGGCTCTTTGACTTTTGAAATCAATTTTTCAGTTTCATAGTCACCTCTTAAGAATTGTTGTCCAAACTCAGTTTCCTTATCTGTAAAACAAGTTAAGTGACGGTCAGTTCACAGAGTTGCTATGAGGACTGAGCGGGTTGCAGGAGCCCACATAGACTGTGAGATGCTGCACAAGGATCAGGTCCACGGTTGCAGCCTAAGGGGCAGAAGAAAAGGAGCTCCAAGAATCCCCCTTTGGGTTGACTTTTATGACCAGCTGGTGCCCTTTCCCAGACAGTTGGTCTGATTGGAAATGGATCCCCAAGAAGAAAACATTAATCTTCACATAAAAGATGCCCAATATTTTCAGTAGATCCAGCTGGGTAACCATGAGAAAGTCACTTCAGCTCTCTGGGTCTCTTTGAAATGACAGCTGGACTAAATAATATTTTAAAGCTACCTTTAGCTTAAAGCGTGGACAAACCCATGACCACAGGGATGAGGAGGTGCTAGTGTGGTGAAGGCTTCACCATGGGATGAAGGCTTTCATATTTGGATGTGACTGGGTGAGGGTTGGGCTCTTCTCAGATGTCCCTTCCTCCAGGAAGCCTTCTCTGATTCTTCCAGCACAGGTACAGTGTCTTCCTCTGGGCCCCCAGTCCAGTGCTACCCTAACATGTGTTATGGTTGTCTGTGAGATGACTGTTTCCTAACTGGACCATGAGCTCCTGAGGGCAGAGACTACCTTGTTCAGCCCCAGGTGCCCAGGGCCCAGGGCCTGGCATTTGCAGGTGGTCAGTGGATGCTTGTGGACTTGAATGGGACTGAATTGCCAGCCCACATTCTTTCCCATTAAGCCAGACATTTTCAAGGAGGAAGGGCTGGGGCCAGGCTTAGCCGCCGGAGGCTTTGGAAGCAACCTTTAGACAATTTGTGCTGTGCTCCAAATGCTTTCTGGGAGCCAACTGAGATTCCAGGGCAGCTGAGAGCCAAAAAGGGCGGGAGGTAGACTCCCTGGCTGGAGGGAGCCTGGGTGGGGTGGGGGACAAGAAAGGGGAACTACCTCAACACAATGGCTAGCATTTCTCCTGCATTTTCTACTTTACATAATATTTCCACAACACCATTTTGTTTGAGCCTCATGCGAATCCCAGGGCTAAGTAGAGCAGTTCAATAGCACGATTTTTCTTTTTCAGACAAGTCGGACAAGACTGAGAGAGGCGAAGTGACTTGCCAGAAGTCACACAGCCAGATTTGAAGTTGAATCTTGAATCCTCAGATTTCAGGTCCAGTGTTCTTCCAAGACCAAAAACAAAACAAAACAAAACAAATCAAAACAAAAAAATTGGGAGGTGATGTCCATGGGTCTGTGTTATTTTCCCATTCATTGGTAGCTTAATGAATTGTTCTGTCTTTCTCATCCCATCAATATTTAAAAATTACCACAATTGGGGCTGCTATTGATGGGACACCGGTAAAGTGCTTTGTTGTAAGTCCTTTATCAACATTATTATATTTAATCTGATCGATGACCCTATAAGACAAGTTCTATTACTAACCCTATTTTACAGATGAGGAAAGTGAGGCTCAGAAGGAATAAGGAACCAACTAAAAATCATAAAGCCAATGAGTAGCCTAGATTTGAACCCAAGATGTGAGACTCCAGAGTCTGAGCTCTGAACCACCCACCATGCTGCTAAGATTTAATTCTTTACACCAAAGCAATAACCACGCAGTGAGTGGGTTCCAGCGCCCAGCGATGAGCTCATGCACCAGTGTCAGTGGAGAGGCATGTTGTTGGCCTTGTGTCTCCAGACTTGGAGACTGACCTGTCCTGGGCCTGCCCTGTCCACTCATGCCTGATTCTTGCCTGGGCTTGGTCAGTACAGGTACACTGGCCACTATCTGCAAAGCTGGAGCAGCATAAAACTAATGATCCCAAGGGTGAAGCAAACAGAAGCCTTGCTCTTGGCAGCCTGAGCTCATCACCAAGAGTCCACCAGCCTGGACATGGCCTCGTGTCCTGGCATTGTGGAGCAGTGAAAAGAGCTTGGTGTTGGGGTCAAACAAAGCCAGGTTCCAATCCAGCTCCGAACCTTAGACGCTGGATGACCTTGGGAAAGGTAGATAATCTCACCAAACCTCAGTTTTCCCACTTGTAACAAGGGCCTAATATGAGTCTCATAATATAAGAATGAACTAGAACAACCTACCTGAGGTATCTTAATGCAGTGGCCAACAGATAGTAGATACTTATAATTCTTCATTCAAGAGAGGGTGGCCCAGGAGAAAGAGCATGGGATTTGGGGTCAGACAGATCTGGTTTCAAATGCTGGTTCTGCCAGCTGTAAGTTGTATAACTTTGTACAGACAGCAACCTCTCTGAGCTTCAGGTTCCTCATCAATAAAACAAGGTTGACAACAACTGCCTTAGAGAAAATGGCAAAACCAAGAAAGGGTGTCGGGGGCAAGGGTGTGATCAGAGTTCAGTGAAGAGTATCTTACATCAACAGTAAAAAGTTGATCTTCCCCTCTTCCTTTTCTTGGAGTGGAGCATGGGAGAATTCATTCATTATTTCATGCATCCAGCCAAAATTTAGAAACATTATCTGCCATGTAGATAAATAATGATGTAACTTGGAAGGTGGTTAGACTGAGCTGTTTGCTAAGTGCCCTTGCCAATCTGGGGACAGCGCAGTTGTGGGGAGATGGACTCAGGTCTTATCCTCGACCAGAACGAAGGTAGCCCCTAGAAGGTAGAAGGCATGGGGCCAACTACGATGGAACATTAGAAGCCCCTGGTCTCTGCCCCAGGTATCCCCAGTAACACCTGTGGCCTCTGTCTCCCTCGGCCTTCCTGAGCCAACCCATGGCACGGTTCTGGCTTAGCTAGTGACTAAAACTCCATTCTGGTGATACTTTTGGGTTCTGTTTCCTGGGTTTCCCTCTGGGGCTTATTGAAACTCTGGGACATTTTGCCCCCGCTCCCAATTCCCTCTCTGTTAATAGCTGACCCTGCTTGGCTGTGTTAATCCACTTGGGTAGCTGTAACACATTACCAAAGACTGAGGCACTCATAAACACAGTTTCTCACACTTTTACAGGCTAGGAAGTCCAATATTAAGGTGTTGGCAAATTTGGTGTCCAGGGAGGGTCCACTTTTCGGTTCATAGACGACTGTCTGCTCACTGTGTCCTCGAATGCCAAAAGCATCAGGGGATCTTTCTGGGGTCTTTTTTACAAAGGCATTAATCCCATTCATGAGGGCTCTGCCTTCATGACCTAATCACCTCCCAAAGCCCCCCCCCCACCCCAAAATACACACACAAATCCATTACCTCAAAGGTTAAGTTTCAACATATAGCCGTGCTCAGTGGCTCACACCTGTAATCCCAGCACTTTGGGAGGCCAAGGCGGGTGAATCGTGAGGTCAGGAGTTCAAGACCAGCCTGGCCAAGATGGTGAAACCCCGTCTCTACTAAAAACTACAAAAATTAGCCGGGCACGATGATGGGTGCCTGTAATACAAACTACTCGGGAGGCTGAGGCAGGAGAATTGCTTGAACCTGGGTGGCAGGGGTTGCAGTGAGCCAAGATCGCACCACTGCACTCCAGCCTGGGTGACAGAATGAGACTTCATCTCAACAACAACAACAACAACAAAAATTCAACATATACATTTTGTAGGGGGGACACAAACATTCAGTCTACGGCATTAGTCTTCTCTGAAGATCCCTGCTTTGCAGTGCTGTTGGTCTAAACTCTAACCCAGCCCTCTCTGGCAATGATAAATATTCATTTGGTAGAGACTGAACTGTGGTTGGAAGGAAGAGTGAGGAGAATAGTTCCAGGTCAAACTTAGCATGCCAAGCTCCTCTGGATGGTAATGAGTCAGGGCTAGATAGGGGTCTGTTTGAATGAGAGTCTGATGCCTTCCCTAAGTGCAGTAGGAGTCAGTGCCTACTAGTAGAGTTCAAGGCCATGAGCCAGGATTGAAGGAGGGTAGACGTAGGGTCAATATCAAGAGTGGTATCTTTTACAAATTCATTCTGTAAGCACCTACTAAGTGCCAGGTCCTGTTCTAGGTGCTAGAGACACGGTGGTGAATAAGATCGATGTGGTTGGAGACAGGCAACAGACACATAAATACATCACTATATTGTATGTTAGCTGGGAGATGAGCTACAGAGAAAAATAAATCAAGAGAAGGGGACAGAGAACGCCATGGGTTAGAATGGGTTCAAGTTTCAACAGTGCAGCCAGGGAAGCCCTCTATGAGAAAGCAGTATCTGAGTAGAAATCTGAACTAGGTGTGGGACGGAATCATATGAACATCTGGGAGAAGATTGTTTCAGGGCAAGGGCAAGGGCAATGGCCTCGAACTTGGAGCACACCTGTTGTGTTCAGACGACAGCCAGGGCTTCATATCTATTAGAGCTCTTATTGCCTAAACCCCTTCTGCATCATGGGGATGAGGTCTGAGAAATAACGGTGGTGTACAGGTGGCAGCGGGTGTAGATCATGTAGCACCTTGTCAGACATGGCAATGACTTAGACTCTTTGTGGGATGGGGCCACTGGATGGGGTGGAGTGCTAGAAGGGTGACCTACACTTTGCAGTGTCATCCTGCTCTGCTGAGAATATACTGAAACAGGGCAAGGGCAGAAACCAGAAAGCCAGCTAGAAGGTGGCTGCATCGAAGGGTGAGAGATGGTTGGATTCTGGAGGGATCTGGACCTTGGGATTACAGGGTTTGTTAACGGATTTGATTGGGTGTGAGGGTGGGTGGTGAGAGAAGGGGCAAGCAAGGAAGACTCCAAGGTTTGGGGTCTAAGGCACAGTTGCCTAAGGTAACTTGGATGGGAAAGGCTGAGGAAGGCACAGGTTTTGGGGTGGGGAGAAGATCAGGAGTTCAGTTCTGGAACTGTGAGGGTGAAGGCCCATCAGACATCCAGGGGAGACACCTCATAGCAGTCTCTGATATGTGAATCTGGAGCTGCGGGTTTTCAAACCATGACACCAGGTTAGAGCAACAAAGGAATGAAGGTGTGTGTGCAGGCAGGGAGAAAAAGAGGACCAGGAGCCCTGAGCCCAGCCCCCAGCCCCCAGCCCCCAGCCGGTGTTGAAGCTGAAGGGTAACCCAGTGACGCCAGGAGGGACGCTGGTGAGTGTGTCATCCTGGAGCCAAAGTGGAGGGGGTGTTTCAAGGAGGAGCAATGGACCAGCTGTAGGTCAAATTAGGTAAGATGGAGCAGTGACCTTTAGAGGTCACTGACCTTAGCAGGCGCAATTGCAGTGCAGTGGTAAATGGCAGCAGGGCCACTCAGAAGTGGCCTCTGCTCTGGCCCTGAGAAGTTAACTCAGAATTCCAGGGGAAAGGCGAAAGTGCTTTTTAAAGAAGAGGGGTGGGGTAGGGAAACAAGGCATGCCCCTCCAATGTTCCCCTGGGATCTGGGGAGTCCAGGTGCGGGTGGTCATGGGAGAGATCGGGGGACAGCTCTCTTGGGCAAGGTGTGTCTCTGACTCAGCCATTGTCAGTCGCGTACAGGCCTCTGTGGGTGCCCGGCAGAACTGGCCTATAGGCAGTTTCTGGTGGTGACCTTGGCAGAGGGTGTTGACAGCAGTGGGATATCACCACCTTCAGTCAGAGTTGCAGAATCAGAACAGGAGGAATAATGCCACTTGTTTGCCAAGAGGACAAATTCTGGGAGACCTTGTGACAGGCCCTCTCAGAGCCGTTGAGGAAAGGCTTGCAGGGGCTAAAATGCTTAAACAGTGGAAGCAGAGCCAAAGAAATCTTGTTTTATGATGGCCATAGTGATGGTTTACACTCAGACTGGTGAGGCCAGAGCTAAAATAATAGGAAGCATTTAGTGAGCACTTACTATGTGTCAGCTGGGCACTCTCTAAGTGCTTTATGCATGTTCTGATGTTTTAAAGCATAAATGATCCTTCTCTGAGGAAAAACACTGCATACTACATATTCTCTAGGTTGTTCGTTTATTATCTGCCACTTCCTCATTAGATGATAACCTCTTGAGGGCAAGATTTGTTGATTGGTGCATCCCCAACTCCTAGAACAGTGCCTGAAATATAGTAGATGCTTAATAAATACTTGCTGAGTGAGTACATGACTACGAGTCCCCTAGGCATTGAACTTGATGAGCCCTCACTGTGAATCCTTACTGAGGGTAAAGCTGGGAACAGCAGCCATCCTTTATTAAGCACCAACTGTGTGCAAAGTGCTAAGCCTGTGCCCTCTAAATATAGGTCGATATCCTGCAACCACTGAGAGCTGTGTTTCTGGTCACTGACTCAGTTTAGAACATTCGTCTCCATCCTTCTCACCAAACATTTGCTCTCCTCACTACCAAAATCTTGCTCATTTATGAGCTGTCCTCCTCCACGGAGCCACCTCTGATAGAGCTGGCCTGCCTCTGGCCCCAGCCTCCCTTCAGCCCCCTCAGCACAAGGTTGTGGGTCTGAGCTGCGATTAAATTAAAATGACTCATTAAATCACAAAAACTATAATACAATGACTGCTTCTGCTACTCCTTCTACGACTCACCGCATTTGTTCTGAGCACTTGCCGCGTGCCGGGGCTCTGCTGTCCCTGTCCAGGCCTCATCTTGTTTCACCCTCCCACCACCCCAGAAGGGCATCCTATTTCTTTTATTTTGCAGACAAGCAAGCAGCCCCTGCTCTCGGCCAGTCACCTAACCTCCTTCTGGGGGTCCTGGCTCCTTGTCGATCTCTGATCGACAGGAGATCAGAGAGTTCCTGAAGCAGAGATGGTGGGGCAAGGCTGAAGTGCAGAGTGGTGAATGCCATGTTTTACCATGGGGAGCATGCATGGGGGGCCGGCTTCTCTGGCGGAAGTGTGTGGGAAGCAGAGAAATGGAGCGGGGGTGAGTGGAAGCCCCAGAATGCAGCAAAGGGAAAACCGAGCACTCTGGGGAACAGCTCCAGCCTCCCCCAGAACCACTGAAACCACCAGAAGGGTCAGGGGTTGGTCCCAAACAACATGGACTTCCTCCTGGCAGTGAGCCAGCTGGAGAACCTCAGCAGAGGCCAAGAAGAGCCCCTCGGGGCCCCTGAGGAAGATGTATATATGGGGGTTCCATCAGCAGCACTGCCCCTCTCCATCTCTGCCTGAGCTCTCCTTTCCCCCCAGAAAACCAAACAGTAGAGCCTGCTGGGGTCAAAGGGTCAGGTTGTATGAAAGGTCAAAGGTCACGGGTCCTGTGGGCCTGCAGATACAGATCCCATGACTCCAAGTCAGGCCGGTGGGAGCTCCTTCCTAGTCCCAGGGAACAACCCCAGGGGCCCACACTTGGCCACCTCCAGAAATTCCCAACTCCTGACTCAGGCTGTCTCTAGAGGGGCTGCAGCTGCCTCCAGAAGACCCTGACTGCCCCATGACGATGACGCATAGGGAGCTTCCTGGGGAACGGCTGGCTCCACCTCAGGAAGGGCCCAGGCCCAACAGACTCCCCAGCAGGGGCCTACACCCAGCCACCGCTGGGCTTCTTAGCCCACCAGAGACCTTCACTGGCTCCCCACGTTTCACAGGAAAAGTCCCTATTTCTGGCTTCCGAGGTTTCCACCACCCTTTCATTCTCGTCTATGGAATCTTTAAGAAGCCCCACACTCCAAAGGAATCTTTATTCTTGGGTGTTGATTTATCCCATACACTTAACGCCCATTGTGCCTTTCATCAATCCCTCCTTTGGCCAACACAGACCAAGGGGTCACCCCAGGCCAGGCCCTCCAGGCCTTGTCCTAACAGAAGCCAATGAGAGAGCCAGGGGGGTCACCCCAGGCCAGGCCCTCCAGGCCTTGTCCTAACAGAAGCCAATGAGAGAGCCAGGGGCCTGCTCTCACGGAGCTCACGTGCTTGTGTGGAATTCTCATCCCCATTTTCCATATGAGAAATTGAGGCTCTGAGAATACGTAGGCAGCACAGCAGTGGTCTGCACACAGGCTTGTCTGACTCCAGAACTCTTCTTTTAATCCCCATCCTTTCTCATAACCACTCGAAGTCCCCGGACCATGGTGGTGGTCCACACCTCTGGGCCTTTGGACGACTACTCCATTGACTTGGAATGTGCTCCTCATCTCTTCTCCAGCTGATTCCCTTTCCTCCCTCCCTCCCTTCCTTTTTTTCTTTTTGACACAGAGTCTCACTCTGTCGCCCAGGCCAGAGTGCAGTGGCGCGATCTTGGTTCACTGCAACCTCTGCCTCCCGGGTTCAAGCGATTCTCCTGTCTCAGCCTCTCAAGTAGCTGGGATTACAGGCACCTGCAACCACGCCTGGCTACTTTTTGTATTTTTAGTAGAGACGGGGTTTCACCATGTTTGCCAGGCTGGTCTCAAACTCCTGACCTCAGGTGATCTGCCCGCCTTGGCCTCCCAAAGTGCTCACATTACAGACATGAGCCACTGCACCTGGCCTCTTTCTTTTAAAAAAAAGGACTTTGCACTTTGGTCATCCTCCCAGTACTGGACTACTGAACACTGCCCAAGCAACCAGACCATCCTCTCCTGCTGCCGCAGACCTGATATGTGAAGAGTTGGTCCTGAGCAAGGCAAACAAAGTTCTGCAGAATCTCGCCTTGTCTTAGCTCCTCCACCCGGCTCCCCCTTCCCCTCACTCTGATCTGCACTGTAAATTCCAGCAAGTCCTCAGACGTTCCCTGAGCATACCATACAGTCCTACACCTTGATGCCTTTGCTCCTTCGGCACTTGCTGAAAGGGAAGGTGAGCGTCTCCATGTAACATTGGCCAAACCCTTGTCCAAAGTCTCCAGATTGAGAAATCACTTTCCTGTGCTTTTCCTGGTGGGTGGAGCCTTGTTCAGGGCCAGAGAGGCCTCCAGAAATTCTCCCTATCTTAGTCACTCTTCTCTCCATGGGCCCCACAGCTGGCCCAGAGAAGGAGGTGGAAACTCCCTGGATAGGAAGGGACTTCTAACCTCTGCTCCCCCTGCAAGGACAATGTGAGACTCAGCACAACTCCAAGTCCTTCCCTCCCAAGTCTGGCACTGGGACTGAGGGACTAGAGAGCAGAGCAGAGGCGCAGAGGCTGGGAACTGGTCTGGGGAAGGTTGGAGGAAGGAAACTAACATCGAACATTTACTGAGAACTATGGAGTTCCAGCACTTTTTGCAAAGGTCATCTTGTTAAATCCCATCACCCCAATGAGGTAGGACTATGATAATTCCCATTTTATCTGGGCTAAAACGAAGGCTCAGAGAAATGAAATTACTGGTTCAAGATGGCATCTCCAGGTTCAAAACAGTGAATGCTCTTGTCACTTTCACCCGCTGCCTTCAGACCCACCACACTGACTGTTCCAGAGGGGAAAGCAATCTTGAGAGCCCTTGAAAGCTAATCCTTGAAGCATTCAAACGTTACATGGCAAGATCACCTAATTCTGGTCCAAGGGGCTCCCATGATGATGGAGAAACAAAGACCAGAGAAGTTTTGCCTGGTTCCAACATCTGGAGGTGGCAGAACCATGATTCCAACTCAGATCTTTTGACTCCGAGCTCAGCGTTCTTTCCATTAGTTTATCTACTCTAAAGACAAAGAGCTTTCTTGCCCAGGAAATCATGCCCCAAGCCTACTGCAAATCCCATAAGCAGAGCTTCCACTCTTCTGTCCTCCAAGGATGGAGGAGGAAGAACACTTTGTCATTCTGTTGTGGGCAACCTTCATCTACCATGGTGGCCCCAGCCCCAACTTCTCACACACCAATGCCCTTCTATGACAAATACCACTTAATGCCCCTTGTACTATGTTGAAACAAAATTCATAGTGAACCTACGTACACAATTTTTTTTAAAAAAGTTAAAACGTGGCCCATATGCACCATGGAATACTATACAGCCATAAAAAAGAATGAGTCCACGTCCTTTACAGGGACATGGATGAAGCTGGAAACCATCATTCTCAGCAAACTAACACAGGAACAGAAAAACAAACGCCGCATGTTTTTACTCGTAAGTGGGAGTTGAACAATGAGAATGCATGGACACAGGGAGAGGAACATCACACACCGGGGCCTGTGGGGGTTGGGGGGCTTGGGGAGGGATAGCATTAGGAGAAATACCTAATGTAGATGACAGGTTGATGGGTGCAGCAAACCACCATGGCACGTGTATACCTGTGTAACAAACCTGCACATTCTGCACATGTATCCCAGAACTTAAAGTTCAATTAAAAAAAAAAAGTTAACTGGAGTCCCCTAACTGTAACATAAAGCAAAAATCAAACAGAAATAATTTATAGAGGCATAGCATTAGGAGATATACCTAATGTTAAATGACGAGTTAATGGGTGCAGCACACCAACATGGCACATGTATACACATGTAACAAACCTGCACGTTGTGCACATGTACTCTAAAACTTAAAGTATAATAAAAAATAATAATTTATAATGAAAATGGACAGTCTGATGCTTGCACCTATGCATAGAATTGCCATGCATTTTACAACTATACATGCCGACTGATATAGTTTGGATGTCCCCTCCAAATCTCACGTTGAGATGTAATCCCAGTGTTAGAGGTGAGGCCTGGTTGAAGGGGTTTGGGTCATGGGAGTGGATCCCTCATGGTTTGGTGCTGTCCTCAGTATAGTAAGTGAATTCTCTCTCGTGAGATCTGGTTGTTCAAAAGTGTGTGGCACCTCCCCTGACTCCTAGCCACCTCTCTCACCATGTGACTTTGCCTTCCACCATGAGTAGAAGCTCCCTGAAGCCCTCACCAGAAACTGAGCAGGTGTCGGGGCCAGTCCTGTACAACCTGCAGAACCATGAGCCAGTCAATCTCTTTTCTTGGTAAATTATCCAGTTTTGGGTATTTCTTTATAGCAATGAAAGAAAAGCCTAACACACCAACTGAAATGTTTCATTAACAACTCAAATGCCAGAAGTAGGATTGCCATTGTCATCAGTGACTTGATTTTTTGAAATGATTAACAACTGTCGGAAATGTTTCAAATAAAGCAAAGTATAATTGTCCCTTAATTGACACAGTGGTTGCACTTTTTTTTGAGGGGGGGTGGTTTGGAGGAAAAGCAAATATTGAAAGTGCTTCCTGCCACTCATCATCACCCCTAGTGATCCACTAGCATGATTTTTGCTTTTGCTTCCTGTTCTCACACCATTACATTCTGCTGGCATATAGGTCTTAGTTCCAGAGGGAGGAACACTGCCACCAGGAGACACAACAATGATTCTATTAAACTGGAGTTAAGATTGCCATCTGGACACTTTGGGCTCCTCCTACCTTTTTTTTTTTTTTTTTTTTGAGGTGGAGTTTTGCTCTTCTTGCCCAGGCTGGAGTGCAATGGCGCAATCTCGGCTCACCACAATTTCCGCCTCCTGGGTTCAAGCGATTCTCCTGCCTCAGCATCCTGAGTGGCTGGGATTACAGCGGTGCGCCACCACGCCCAGCTAATTTTGTATTTTTAGCAGAGACGGGGTTTTTCCATGTTGGTCAGGCTGGTCTCTAACTCCTGACCTCAGGTGATCCGCCAGCCTTGGCCTCCCAAAGTGCTGGGATTACAGGCGTGAACCACCGTGCCCGGCCTGGGCTCCTCCTACCTTTAAGTCCACAAGCTAAGAAGGGAGTTACAGTGGTGGCTGGGTTGATCGACCCCGACTATCAAGATGAAATCAGTCTACTACTCCATAAAGGAGGCAAGGAAGAGTATGTGTGGAATACAGGAGATCCATTAGGACATCTCTTAGTATTACCATGCCCTGTGATTAAGGTCAATGGGAAACTACAACAGCCCAATCCAGGCAGGACTACAAGTGACCCAGACCCCCTCAGGAATGAAGGTTTGGGTCACTCCACCAGGAAAAAAACCACGACCTGCTGAGATGCTTGCTGAAGGCAAAGGGAATACAAAATGCGTAGTAAAAGAAGGCAATATCAATACCAGCTATGACCATGTGACCAGCTGCAGAAACGAGGACTGTAACTGTCATGAGTATTTCCTCCTTCTTTGGTTAAAAAACATGTTTGTGCATTTATACACTTGTACTAAGAAAATATTTTCATTTTATTTCCTTTTCCTTTATCATGCCACATAAGATTTATTGACTTCATATCAGCATTTAAATATTGTTAACTTTATGTAATAGTATTTAGGTTGGGGATTGGTTTGTTTCCGGTTGTACCAAGGATAGTTGTATTATGTTAGGCATAATTATGACCTTATTATTGTCTTTATTTGAAGATTATGTATGATCTGAGGAGATGTGTATGGGTTCAAGTTAACAAGGGGTGGACTTGTGATGGTTAATACTAAGTGTCAACTTGATTGAAGGATGCAAAATATTGATCCTGCGTGTGTCTGTGAGGGTGTTGCCAAAGGAGATTAACATTTGAGTCACTGGGCTGGGGAAGACAGACCCACCCTTAATCTGGTGGGCACAATCTAATCATCTGCCAGTGAATATAAAGCAGGCAGAAAAATGTGAAAAGACAAGACTGGCCTAGCCTCCCAGCCTACATCTTTCTCCCGTGCTGGATGCTTCCTGCCCTCAAACGTCGGACTCTAAGTTCTTCAGTTTTGAGCCTCAGACTGGCTCTCCTTGCTCCTCAAGCTTGCAGACAGCCCCTATTGTGGGACCTTGTGATTGTGTAAGTTAATACTTACTAAACTCATATATATATATATATATATGTCTTATTAGTTCTGTCCCTCTTGGGAACCCTGACTAACACACTGCCTAAATACTTTGTGTTTGAATTTAATATGGAATTAGGTTCTAGGCTCAGATAATTATAAATGACTTTTCACCTATATGGTGTCTGGTAGGACCAAATCCAACAGTCCTGTGGGTAGCAGGACAGCTGTTGGCTGTGCAGAGTATCCTGTATGCATTCCCAGTCCCCCTGACTATCTGCCCATAGTGCCCATTGCTTGTGATGATAACCAAAAGTCTTCCCACAAGTTTCCAAACTGCATTTCAAGGGAGGGTCCTGTCCCCATGGAGGACCATTAACCACATCATTAAGATTTACTCATAAGATTATATCCCAACCTCTCAATATCTCTCTAAGTTCTTTAAGCCCTGTATTCAGTTGTGGTCGCCAGATGGAAGAGACAGAAGCAAGAGGAGGTGGAAGGAGCCCCAGAATTAGACAGGGAATCCAGCTTGCCTTTCCACTGCTGCATTCCCAGGCCTAGCCAGCACACATGAGGTGTTCAACAAATATTCATGACATGAAATTATTAGCCGTGTAGGCTTGGGGAAATTATTTAATCTTCCGGAACTGTCAATTCCCTCTTGGTAAATGGATGGTCACACCATGGGGCTCTTGAAAGGACCAAATATGAGAAAGCCCAGGATATGTACAAGGGGCTCAACGACTATTAGTTGACCATGAAAATCGTGGTCCTGCTACCATCAGGCTGGGATGAAATTCTCAATCATGGCACAGCTAACAGAAGAGTGTTTTCAAATCAGCCTGTGACTAGACTACTTGACATTTTGGAATGTAATTTCTTCCAACCTTGAGATCTGGCAGTTCTGAGACCCTTGTCTTGACAGAGCTGGTGGTGAGGAGAAATGTCCCCATCCACCCTCGACCTGCCTGATTCCTACATTCCTACCACCCCCAGCACTCACCCACCCCCAGCCAGCACCCACGGCACCCCCAGCCAGCACCCACGCACCACCAGCCAGCACCCACCCACCATCAGCCAGCACCCACCCACCCCCAGCCAGCACCCACCCAGCCCCAGTCAGCACCCACGGCACCCCCAGCCAGCACCCACGCACCACCAGCCAGCACCCACCCACCATCAGCCAGCACCCACCCACCACCAGCCAGTACCCACCCACCCCCAGCCAGCACCCACCAACCAGCAGCCAGTACCCACCCACCAGCAGCCAGTACCCACGCACCCGCAGCCAGCACCCACCCACCAGCAGCCAGCACCCACCCACCCCCAGCCAGTACCCACCCACCCCCAGCCAGCACCCACCCACCAGCAGCCAGTACCCACCCACCCCCAGCCAGCACCCACCCACCAGCAGCCAGTACCCACCCACCACCAGCCAGCACCCACGTGCCCCCAGCCAGCGCCCACCCACCAGCAGCCAGCACCCATGCATCCGCAGCCAGCACCCACTCACCCCCCAGCCAGCACCCACGTACCCCCCAGCCAGCACCCACCCGCCCCCAGCCAACAGCCACGCACCAACAGCCAGCACCCATGCAGGCCTGCGGCCCTTCCTTGATTGAGTCTAAAGGAAGGTCTCCCTCCATTCTGCTCCTGCCCTGCCCTTCGGTTGAAGGAGAGGAGAAGCAAACAATTACTGAGCACCTCCTGCATGCTTGGAGCTTTATTCTTCCCCAAGTTATGCTGCTAAATCTCGTTCTCGAAGTGGGATG
Source organism: Homo sapiens (assembly GCF_000001405.40). Classification (NCBI taxonomy): domain Eukaryota; kingdom Metazoa; phylum Chordata; class Mammalia; order Primates; family Hominidae; genus Homo; species Homo sapiens. The sequence continues at coordinate 32,760,420 of NC_000022.11, forward strand.
AAGGGGAGTGACATCCCACACATGAGGAAACGGGGCTCAGAGATGGTAAGTAATGTCATGTGCCCAGGGTCTCAGAGTGGGCATGAGGTGGACATTCCTTTTGGAGTGGTCTTCCCTTCCACCACAGTCAGGGGAGGTTGACAGAAGGCACATGCAGGGCCCCCCGTGGGCAGAGCTCACATCACACCAGCCTCCCACCGTCTACCCTAGCCCACACCCACAGTGCCCAGGCTTCTGAAATTCACCAGGCTCTGAGGGTGGGGCTCCTCTGTCCTTCCCCACTGGTTCAGAGGGGCGGTGTAAAGACAGACAGGGAGAGAAGATGAGGAAAATGTCAGCAGGCCTCAAATGCCAGGGGTACTGGGAGTGAGTTGGAACCAGAGCAATGGATAGATTTTTAGCAGGACCAAAGAGAAACTTTGAGTATATTTGAGAGTGAGATGCTTTAGAAGACTATGATGGGCCAGGACACTTCACACTGCCCAGGCAGCTGGTCCAGGGTCAAGGAAACACTGGCGTCATAGATATTGTAAGGGGTTCCTGTCTTACAATGTTCCTCTCAACCTCCCATTTCCAGTCTGTTCCCTCTAGCAGGGGGAGCTCCCGGGGTACACGGTGTCCCAGCCAGCTCTTCAATCTAGAGGACAGCAGCTGCTGCCAGCCTCTGAGGGCTGGGAGGTGGAGAGTTGAAGCCCACTGGGTCATCTGCTGGTCAAATGCTGCAGGGGGCAATGCATCTTCAGTTCTAGTGTTAACCTTGCTGCAAAGGTGCTGTGTGACCCAGTGCCGGTTACTGTTGCTTTCCTGGCCTCAGTTTCCATATTGCCAAGTTGAGGGGATTGGACTAGTTGATTACCAAAAGCTCTCTTTCCTTTGGTTTTTATGAGGAGCAGGAGCCCAGGGAAGAAATGGGACATGAGAGAGAGGCAAGGGGTGGCCGATAGAAGCCATGCGCGTGAGTCACGAGAAGGGGTGTGAGATCCCAAAAGGAAGCTGAGCAAATTTGCAGAATGTCAACACCCCAGGGCAGGTCACTCCTAGCCCTTCACTGACCCTGGAAGGGAGTGGGGGGACAACAGCAAGGTCAGGCTTCCCAGAGGCCATGGGATTTAGCCAGCTTGCTCCTGAGGGCTGGCAGCCCAGTTTTGAGCACCTCTTGAAGGCAGTGGGGCAGGTGCTTCTGGTGGGGGTGCCTCTGAAACCCCAGAATGCAGTATAGTCCCAGAGAGGTCAGGTCCTGCAGATTTCTTTGGTGATAACAGCTGCTTTGTTTTGCGGGGAGGCCACAAAATTCCTTTTAAAGCAAGATTTCCTTCCTCCATTTATTTATTTACTTTTCACCCAGTGATTCAGCGAAACAACCTCAAAACCAGTCTCCAATGGGAGGCAGGAAGAACCAAACCCTCAAACATTAGTGTCTCTGTGAGGTTTTGCCTGGTGGAATTTTCCTTAAAATAACTGCACCCGGAGATTGTCGGATACGGGATGGGGAAGGGGAAGACCTGAAAACGGGGTCCTGCGGGGCTTGTGAATGACTCAGATGCTGGAGTGAGGAGTCTCAGGAGTCTGCCCTGAGTGCCACCTGTCCTTAGCGAGGGCTTGGGTGGGTGATGGCATCGGTTTTCTCATTTCACAGACTCCAGAGGGTGCCATCTTCCTGAAGACAGAACGAGCCAGTAGTTTGAACCCTAAGTGCAAGAGAAGGGACTCAAGGCAGCACGTTTATAGCAGTGGGGTAGGATTTTAGCGCCATCTTGCTCCCTGTCCATACATCCTTCCTCAGGGTTAAAGCAGTGGGCTGGGACTGGCATCCTCTTGCTCCTGTCCATGCGTCCTTCCCCAGGGTTATAGCAGTGGGCTGGGACTGGCACCCTCTTCTCCCCGTCCATACATCCTTCCTCAGGGTTATAGCGGTGGGCTGGGACTGGCACCCTCTTGCTCCCTGTCCATACGTCTTTCCCCTAATTCCTAATGCAATGGCTTTAGTTTCTTTAACTCAGTGGGAACAACAAACAAACAGAAAATGTCTTTCTCTTTGTTATAACACATCTGAATTGGAAAAGGACCAACAAGATAAAAGGTTGTGGTGGAAATGGTGCCAGATTAGAAATTAATTCAGGATACCTGGGATCTATTTCAGCTTTGGTGTATTAAGCCATGAGACCTTGGGGAGGTCACTTCCTAAAGGGCATAAAGATGGCCAGGGTCGCGAAACCCAGTGTCTGCAACCAGGAAGTCAGGTGATATAGAAGAACAGGTCTGCTGATGGACAGAGCGAGGTGGGGCGGGCGCCCTTGCATGAAAGTCACATGGACTTGGGGGCACGCCCTGGTTCCCACTTATTGATAGGATGATCTGGGGCAAGTCAACTCCTTCTTTCTGAGCCTCAGCTTCCCCATTTGTAAGGTAAGGAAAATAGTAATCATCTCAAAGGGCTGTTGAGAGAATGCACAGGGAAGAGCTTGGTAAGCCAGAAAGCATGAGTCAAATAGGAGATACTTTCATTACTCTAGACACTTAGGAGCAAGGAATATTAATCACATAGTCCTCAAGGGGACCAAGGCTAAATAACAATAGCTACAATAACAACAATTAGTATCTTATTGAGTGCTTACTATGTGCCAGACACTGTTTTGAATGCTTTGAATGTATGAACTCATTTCATCTTTTTTTTAAAGTGTAACATAACATATACACAGTAAATTAGTAAAGTGATCTATTTTTTGTTGTTGTTGTTTTTTTTTTGAGATGGAGTCTCACTCTGTCGCCCAGGCTGGAGTGCAGTGGCACTATCTCAGCTCACTGCAAGCTCCGCCTCCCGGGTTCACGCCATTCTCCTGCCTCAGCTTCTCGAGTAGCTGGGATTACAAGCGCCTGCCACCACGCCTGGCTAATTTTTTTTTTGCATTATTTAGTAGAGATGGGGTTTTACCATGTTAGCCAGGATGGTCTTGATCTCCTGACCTCATGATCCGCCTGCCTTGGCCTCCCAAAGTGCTGGGATTACAGGCGTGAGCCACCACGCCTGGCCAAGTGCTCTAATCTTAAGAGTACTTCTTGATGAAGTTTTACATTGGTACATATCATATGAGCTCATTTAGTCTTCAAGGCAACCCTACACTGTTTATTTCCATTTTACAGATGTGAAAACCGAGGCAGAGCCAGGACTCAAATCCAGACAGTCTGCATGCTGGTAGCCATGCAGTACTGCCCGGGCAATCCAGTATATCGAGATGGAGAGTGTCTGGAGTGACTGGGAGTCTGACAGGTGAAGCCAATGGAGGATTCTGCCTTAGTAGGAAACTTTTTTTCTGTTTGTTTTTGTTTTGTTTTTTCACTTCCCCAGGTGAGGAAAGGCCAGGATCCCAAGCTCAGGGAAGAAAGTAGATGAAGCTGAAAGGAAAGGGGAAGGAGATCAGGGTATGGAAAAGCAGGCTGAGATAGTAGGGGGAGGATTTGAGGGAAGCGGACAATTGCTGCTGATGACTGATGCCTCCAAAATTTGGTGTAGAAGCCCCCCCCCCCTTTTTTTTTTTGAGACTGAGTCTCACTCTGTCGCTCAGGCTGGAGTGCAATGGCGCAATCTCGGCTCACTGCAACCTCTGCCTCCCGGATTCAAGTGATTCTCCTGCCTCAGCCTCCCGACTAGCTGGGATTACAGGCATCCACCACCACACCCAGCTAATTTTTGTATATACTTTTTAGTAGAGACGGGGTTTCTCCAGGTTGGCCAGGCTGGTCTCGAACTCCAGACCTCAGGTGATCCACCCGCCTCGGCCTCCCAAAGTGCTGAGATTACAGGTGTGAGCCACTGTGCCTGGCGAAGACCCCATTTTTAATCAGCTTTCTTAAGGAACTGGCAGACAGAGGATCAAGCACAGAAACAAAATGTCCCCGTTTTCTGTAACTGCTCACCACTCCCAGGCTGGGGCCCACTCATTTCCCCATGGATGTCACCCCCAACCCCCAACTTCACCCTTTGTAGAGAAGCCGGCAAAGACTGCGTTGAGAAAGCAAGTTTGGAAGAGAATGACCCAACAGCCTCACTGCTGCGGGTGCTGGAGGAACCAGTGGGCTGCTTTCGGATCACGAGAAATGGATCAGAAACGCAGCAGAAGGCAGCCTCGTGGCCTGGAAGAACACTGGGCTGGAAGGCAGGTTCTGGTCTTGGCTGGGGTTCCAGTGTTGGCTCTGGCTGTGGATTTACATAATCTCCCGCTAATATCCCAAACTGGGGGAAGTCACGTGATGTCTCTGACTCTTGGTGCCTCCCCACTATGGAATTAGGGGCATTTAAAACTTACTGCAAATTCTATCTCCTGACTGGAGACCCCAAGGCGTGAATCTGAACTCAGCCCCTTCAGCAGGTTGAAGTTCACATGTGTGAACATTGCAGTGGTGGGGAGCAATGGCAAGCCTCTGCCATCTGTCCTCATTCTGATTCATGGACATTCTTCCTCCCTCATAGTCTCTCTCCTCAAAGCTCTTAAGTAGGTTGTGAAATCATGACTGAGCCGATTGACATCATCTCCTTATTTGGGAGGCAGGAAGTTGTTCCCCACCCCCACCCTCTTGTCCTTCCAGGGCCCCATCCTGCGCCCCCACCCCACCCCACTGTCCAGTTTCCGGCTTCCTGAGGGTCTTTGAGACCTCGCCGTTTGCTGGCCTGGATGACAACTATTTTTCCCTGGTTTGAGAGCGAGAGAGTGTGTGAGTGTGGACTGTGTGCACCAGAGGGCCAGAGAGGCAGTGGTGAGGGTCACTCAGAACAAGCCAGTCCCAAGAAGTTAAAATTAGCTCTGGGAACTGGAATGTCGGGGTCTTCAAGGAGCAGCAGCTGTGAAAAGAAAGTACAAGGCGAGGAAAGAAAATACACCCCATCCCACACCCGCCACAAACCTCGCTCGCCCACTTCATCTGCCCTGGGGTCTCTGCAGCTTCTCACTCCTCCCGGGATATCTCTGGCCAAGTCCTTGAGGCCGATCAGTGGGAATTTCCCCCTGTATGCTGTCATTTTCCTCTCTGGTAACCACAGAACAAGGTGGCTGAGGATTCCTGATAGGACAAGGTTTAATTGAAAAACAGGAAAGTGGAGGACAACTTTGGGGCTGGGGTGGTGACGATAATGAGAAAATGACAGGCGAGAGGGTGACAGTGGAGGAGGGTCGCATAGCAAGGAGGGTTCGCCACAAACGGAAACTACTCCTGGGAGAGCTGGACACGTGAGCGTTAAGAGTTTGGGCATGGCTGGCAGGAGCGGGAGGCCTGGGAAAGGCTAGAGATAGAGAAGGGGAGGAGGAAGGCTGGGGGACTGTGCACCCCTTTGCACAGAGACAAAGATTGGGTGTTCAAAAAAAGATCACACACCACTGAATGCAGGATCTTGTGTTTTTGAATGGTTGGAGCTTATGTGTCAAACTCAGGCTGTGTGGAAGAACCTTAGAGAAGGGCCAGGAGCCAATCTGAGATGGAGAACTTATAGAGAGTAATCCCTTATAAGCTGGGTCTGAGATTCCAGTCCTGTAAACCCAGGGGCCCTCCAAGCACTAGGCTTCCTCTTCCAGCTCTTTGTCCAGATGAGAGAGGCTGGTTTTCAAGGTTTTTGTTGTTGTTGTTCATTTGTTTGGTTTTTGTTTCTGCTGAAAAACCAGGTAGCTTGCACCTCTGTGGTTTGGAGAACTGGAGGAGGTATTTGGAGCCATACAATTCTGCCCGACATGGGGAGAAAGACTGGGGCGTGGGTGAGATATAGAGCCTTTGGAAAAGGCACTTAGGGAAGGGATCAGGTGGAAGTGGGTATGTGCTGAGCACCTTTTGTGCTTTCCATGACCCCAGCTGTGTATCTGCAGGCTTTCTTCTTCTACTTCTCATGATCACCTAGAATAGAAGCTCCAGGAGGAAGAAACATGTACAATTTTCTTTACCAAGAAATTCCCAGCACTGGAAACAATGCCTGGCACATAGTAGGCCCTCCACAACAACCTGTTCAATCAGCGTGATACAGCAGTTCTGCAAGGTCACTGCTGTTGCCATCTTTTATAGATGAGGGACCTGATGCTCAGAGAAGTGGAATCATTTTCTCAATGACCCACAGTGAATGAAAGCCAAGATTTGAATCTCCGCACCCAGAAGGCCATACCTATTGCATCGCACAGCCAATCCTATTCTTATGCACTGCTGTTTCACATCATCACCTGATTTTGTCCTAGGCTCCTGTCCCCACCTCCGTGAGCCCTTCTACTTTCATCATGTCACTGAGAACCAAATATCTTGATGTTTTCCCCCAGGTACCCAGTCTAGGATTCCCAGATATGCTCCAATTCATCCTTCCTCTAAATAAATAAAGTATCAGTCCCTTGTACCCTTCAGAATAAACCTTTCCAGAGGTTTACTTTGGTTGAGTGGGAATGGGTATAGACAGATTCCAGCTGAATGCTGCACTGACTGGGCAACACTCCAGATTATAGAATTAAATACGCTGATACTAAAATACAGGACTTACGTGTGCAATTCTGATAGACAGTTGGGTATCCACAGTAGACCATTTGCGACCCCATGGTCTCAACTTCCTTCTTTCCCCTGACAGTTCTTACATCTCTCCCTCCCTTCCAAATCCAAATCAGTTATAGGCCTGTGCCTTCCGGGATAGAATGAATCCTATTCTCCAATCATCGGAATTGACTCAATCCCTACTGCGCATCAGGGATGCTACACATGTTATTTGTGTACTTTGCACACCTGCCTACTCACAACTCCTTTTCCTCTGCCCACAAGCACACTTGGGGTTTTGCTTTCGTAAATAAAGTCAAGTGTTCTTCTGACCCTCAAGTAGCCTTCTCTTCTTATTTTTGTCTCCACGTTTCTTAAAGGAATATTATCTGGTTACTGCTTTCATGTCCCCTGCAATCCAGTTTCTGCTCCCACTACTTTCCTAGGATTGCTCCTTCAAATGATTGCTGGTGACTTCACACACACACATACATGCACACACACACTCTTATTTGCATGATTTATCTTCCCTCATTTTGAGATCCATGTTTTGACTGAATTTTCATTTGATTGGAATACATCCTTAAGTAATTTCCTCAGAAAGGGCCTATGGATGGTATCCTAGGGTGTTAGAGCCCCTCTAATATGAATGGCGTCATGACTAGGTAAGGGAATTCTAGTTCATATTCATGTCTTTCATTAGTGTAAGAACATTATTCCACTGTCTTTGAACTTACATTGTTGCAGATGAGTAATCCGGTATCAGCTTTCTTTTCTTTTATTTTCTTTGTAAGTAGACTGTAATCTTTCTTTCTCTGAGAACATTTAGGATTTTCTCTTTAGAGCTCAGAATTGTCACCAGATTTTGTCTTTGTATTGATTTTATCATTCATCTTTCTAGGACTTGGGGACTCTTCTCTACCAACACTTCCTTCTCTTGTTGATCTCACTCAGCCTCATGACTTTAAATATAATCTATGTGTTAACTACTCCCAAATTTACCTAGACTCAATTGCTTCTTCAACATCTTCCCCTGGATGTCTAACACGCATTTCTAGTTTAACATGTCACCCCTTTGATCAGACAAATTAGGTATTTCTTTAGTTCAGAGACATTTTCTTCTATTATATCTTTAAAAGTATCATTTCTCTTCCAGTTACTCCTCTCTCTCCTTCCAAAGTTCCAATTATTTGCACATAGCTCTGTTGGGTCTGTTCCTTCATGCCCCCTATCTTTTTGCTCATGATTTCCTTTTCTTTGCATTTCTGCTAAGTGCCCTGAGATAACCCAGCTCTGGCTTCCTTCTGGGAAAATTCAGTGGTCTTTCTCCTTCTCCTTGGTCTCCCTGAATAACTTTATACTCCTTTTCTTTCAACTGTCTCATTTCTAGGCTGCTGGAAAGACATGCTTCATCTACATATTCGCCCCTTTCTCTGCCTTCTTTGATGGATGGCTTTCCTCTTTTTACCCCTAAAATTAGGATGTTTCCCAAGTTTATGCCCAACTCTCTTCTCTTTATATTTCTTTCCTGGGAGACCTCACCTACATTCTCAGGTTCAATCGCCACCTCTTTGCTGATGATTCTACCTTTATCCCAGACCTCCTTCTGAGCTCCAAGCCATATATGTATAATCAACTGCTTCCTGGATATCTAATGTGTGTATCCCATGGGCATTTCAAATATATGTTCAAAACAAATCTTGCCTTTCTATGTACTATAAACACTCTGTTTTATCTTATTTTTTCTCTTGGTTGCAAAAATATACCACATCTGAACATGGCTGGAGAAAACTGTGACCATGAACTGCAGGACTCATCCCATAGTACTTCCTGAGCCCATTCATTCTCCTACTCTTCCAGGCAACTATTTAACATTGCTTCCTTTCATCTCACACTTCTCATATGTCCTTCTCCTCTAGATTCTCAGTGACGATGATTTTGTTTCAAATTTCATTGAAAACATTAGAAGCAATAAGAAGAGAACTGCCAAAGCTCTCAGCACCACATCTACCCACCTTCCAGTACCTATTCCATATACCCTGCTTTCCCTCTTGCTCCTTTGCATGAACCCTGTGCTCCTACTCCATGGAAACCCTTCACTTGTGCTCTAGGTATCACCCCTTTCGCCGATTCTAGGACAATGCTCCACCCACATCTCCTCTTTCTCCGGCATCCACTTTTCTTTTTCTAATGGATCATTTCCATTCATTTCAACACGCCATTGTAATATCTTCCTTAAAAATAAAAACCCTTTCTTGACCCTATATTCACCATCAATTACCACCCATTTCCCCCCTGTTCTACTTTACAGCAAAAAGTCTATACCTCTGGATTCTGCTCTCTCTTTCATTCTCTCTCGACCTCACTCCCATCCCTCCACCTGCTATGGTCATCAATGACCTCCATGTTGCCAAATATAATGGCAGAATTTCAGCTCTTGTTTTACTTCGCTATGAAGCTGCACTTGACATAGTTGATCATTCCACCTCTTTGAAACACTTTCCTCACTTGGCTTCTGGGACACCACTCTCTCACTCTTGATTCTCATCAGCTGAGTTGAACTCAGTCAACTTTGCCGGTGGCTCCTTATCTCCCTGACTTCTGTGTTTGTTTTTTTTTTTTTTGGAGACTGAGTTTTGCTCTTGTTGCCCAGGCTGGAGTACAGTGGCGCGATCTCGGCTCAACGCAACCTCCGCCTCCCGGGTTCAAGTTATTCTCCTGCCTCAGCCTTCCTGAGTAGCTGGGATTACAGGCATGCGCCACCATGTCCAGATAAATTTGTATTTTTAGTAGAGATGGGGTTTCTCCATGTTGGTCAGGCTGGTCTCGAACTCCCGACCTCAGATGATCCGCCTGTCTCGGCCTCCCAAAGTGCTGGGATTACAGGCATGAGCAACTGCGCCTGGCCTCTCCCTGACTTCTAAACACTGTAGCACTCCTGGCTCTGCTCTTCTCTCTCCACACTCCCTCCCCTATTGATCTCATTCAGTCTCATGACTAAATATCATCCATGTGTTGACAACTCCCAAATTTACATAGATTCAACTGCTTCTTTAACATGTCCCATTGGAGGCCTAATAGGCATTTCTAGTCTAATATGTCAGCAGGCAAACCCTGACTTCTAGCCCCCCTGACTGTTCAATCTGCAGCTTTCCCCATCTCAGTTGATGGCAGCTCCTTTCATTTGCTCAGCCCCGAAACCTTGGAGTCACCCTTAACTTTTTCTCTTGCACTCCACATCCAATCCATCAGCAAATTCTCCTTCAAAATAAAATCAGAATTGACCTCGTTTTACCACATCTATCACTAACTCCTGATCCAAGGCAAATTCACCTCCATATGCTCTCTCTATTTCTGTTCTTGCCCCACAACCAATCTCTTCTCATAGCAGAGTGGTGATGCCTTCAGATGTAAGTCAAATGCCACTCTTCTGCTCAATGCTCTGCAATGACTTCCCATCTCCCACTGAATAAAATAAACTCCTTACCATGAGCCACAGGGCCTGTGTGATCTGCTCTTCCCTATCCCCATAACATCTCTACCCTCATCTTCTGCCTCTCCTCGTCACTCTCTCTGCTCCTCGTGCTGCTCCTAGAACACCCCGAGTTTGCTACCACCTCGGGGCCTTTGCACTTGATGTTCCCTTGTTCTAAAACCTCTTCTCCCAGAAACCCACATGGCTCTCTCTGTCTCTGTCCTTGTTCATGTCTCTGCTTCGTTGGAGAGACCCTCCTTACCCATCATATAATACAGCAACTACATGGTTCCTGACATTCCATATTCCCCAATTAATAGGTGTAAGGCCCTGAGTCAAGGCTCTTAACAGTTCTGTGTCTCTGTTTTCTCCTCTGTAAGGTAACTATAGCAAGAGCACCCATTCTATAAGGATGCTGGGAGGATTAAATGGATTACTCGATATGTAGCACACGGAAGAGTGCCTGGCACATATGTGTTCAATTAACACATATGTGTTCAGTTATTATTATTATTTATTTATTTTACTTTAAGTTCTGGGATACCTGTGCAGAACGTGCAGGTTCGTTACAGAGGTATACATGTGCCATGGTGGTTTGCTGCACCCATCAACCCATCATCTAGGTTTTAAGCCCCACATGCATTAGGTGTTTTTCCTAATGCTCTCCCTCCCCTTGCCCCTCACCCCCCAACAGGCCCTGGTGTGTGATGTTCCCCTCCCTGTGTCCATGTGTTCTCATTGTTCAACTCCCACTTGTGGGTGACAACATGTAGTGTTTGGTTTTCTGTTCCTGTGTTAGTTTGCTGAGAAGGATGGTTTCCAGCTTCATCCATGTCCCTGCAAAGGACATGAACTCATTCTTTTTTATGGCTGCATAGTATTCCATGGTATATAACCAGCCTTGCCCTCTGAAGTTGTCCACCATGGAGATGTTAAAATTCTGAAAGTTGAGTACCGGAGGAAAAAGGTTCAACCACAGAGTTGGTGACCAGAAGCCACCCCTAACCTCCCTGCCAGGCTCTTTGGGCCCCTGTGCACTGCATCTGTAACACAGCACAGTGGCCCCTGCCCAGGCTGGTGGAAACAACACTTGGTGAAGAATGGGCACCAGGACCAGGTCTGCATCTACTAGCTGTCTGACATTAGGCCAGTTACTTGATCTTTCTGAGCCTCAATTTTCCTTCTTTAAAATGGAGATAATATCTGCCTGCCTCCCTCACAGGGGAGGGTCACAGGACACACTGATGCCCAAATACATCTACATCATATTCGGTGTACATGACTGGCCATTTCAAATACCCTACAAAAGATGAACAATGCCCATTATTCATTTTCAAGCTTGGGGACTATATTAAACAATGCACACTGCACATGGAGATTACCCGTGAGTCTCTGTGGTATTCATTCATTCCCAAAGCAAATGGTCATTCATGACATTTGTGCTACAGTTTTACTGGCCAAGGAAGACACTCAGAAACGAATCTAGATCTCTCTTCCAACGGTCAAAATTAGAAAGGGGAGAGGGAGTACATTTCTTAGGCAGCTGCTGCTTGGAAGCAGGTTTGTTTGAGGGTTGGGGAGCACAGCCGTTTAATGTGGGAAGGGTGGTTGTGTGCATGAGGCTGCACTAGGCTGTCTGGAGAGCAGTTTTAGCCCAGAGAGGATGGGGCAAAACCCTCCTAGGACATCTGAAAAAGCCATTAAGCCTGGAAGAAAGGATCCTACATTGGAAAATAGACCTTTTCTGCTAGAAACTTCCCTCATTCTTTCTGTCCCTGAGGATAGTGCTGGGCCACAGGGGGGGAGAAAAGCAGGACCAGAAGGTCAAGAAATGCTGCAGATGTTGGTGTTGTTTTGTTCTTCTTCTTTCTTTTTCTTTTCTTTTTTTTTTTTTTCAAGAGGAGGGAGGCAGGTATGAGGGAGATCAAGGCAGCCCTAGGGAGTATCTAACAAAATGGAGAACCCTGGTGTGACCCCAGATACAGATGTGGAGTGAGCCTGGGGCTTCCAGAAGGGCAGAATCAGAGGTAGGAGCTGTCCCATCTCGGGCAAGCTTCCTTGTCCTTCCAGAACAAGGGTCAGCAAAGCTTTTTTGTATAGGGACATGAGATAGGCTGAAAAATGATCCGCCTCCCTCCACCAATGATATCCTCACCCCTAAAGCCCATAAATGTTAACTTATTTGGAAAAAGAGCCTTTACAGATGTGATTATGTTAAGAATTTTGAGATGAGGAGATTATCCAGAATCATCTGGGTGAGCCCCAAATGCTCACATTTGGGCAGAAGAGGCAGAGGGAGACTTAAGACAAAAAATGATTAGTGTAGGAGACCATGAGGCCAGAGGTTGGAATGATGTGGCTGCAAGTCCGGGAATACTTGCAGCCAGGAGAAACTGGAAGAGGCAAGAGAGGGACTCTCTCCTCAGGCCACTGAAGGGAGGATGCCCTGCCAACATCTTGATGTCAGCCCAGTAGAACTGACTTCGGACATCTGGCCTCCATAACTGCGAGACAAAAAATCTAGCTGGTTTGGGGTTTCCAATTCTGTAGTAGTTTGTTACAGCAGCCACAAGAAACTAGTGCAAGCTAGATAGTAAATATCTGGGGCTGTATGATCTCCCTCGCAACTACTCAACTCTGATGTTGCCATGTAGAAGCAGCCATAGACAAGGAACAAATGAATAGGCATGGTTGTGTCCCAATACAACTGGGGAGCAAAGGCCCTGTCCAAAGAATGGAACAGTGTCGGGCGTGGTGGCTCATGGGTAATCCTAGCACTTTGGGAGGCTGAGGTGGGCAGATTGCCTGAGCTTAGGAGTTCAAGACCAGCCTGGGCAACACAGTGAAAACCCTGTCTCTACTAAAATACAACAATTAGCCGGCCATGGTGGCATGAGCCTGTAGTCCCAACTACTTGGGAGGCTGAGGCAGGAGAATTGCTTGAACCCTGGAGGCGGAGGTTGCAGTGAGCCGAGATTGTGCCACTGCACTCCAGTCTGGGCAACGGAGCCAGACTCTGTCTCAAAAAAAAAAAAAAAAAAAAAAAAAAAAGAACGCAACAGTGACAGTAGTGATTCAGCTTCAGTAGGTTCTTGCTGGCTGGGGACAAAGATCTGAGACGGCCAGATCCTCCTCTTTCTCAAAAGAGGTGGGAATTACAGATTTTTATGAGAAATTTTCTGGATGTAATTGTTGGTAGCTATCTTCAATTCTGGTTGATGTCATGCAGACTGAAGAAAAACACATCTGTTCAGCCATATCTAGCCCTTGAGCCTCCAATTTGCACCCACTGGTCTATTGTATGCTGGGCTCTGGGCTGGGCCTTGAGGACAGTGTCTGTTCATAAGAGGATCATGGTCAAGTGAGGGAGACAGACACACTGATGCAGTGAAGTATTACAGGGCCTGCAACTGAATTAGGTAGAGGGTACTATGGGGGAGGAAAGGTTGCTTCTATCTGAAGAGGAAGGAGGGAGAGTGAGGAAGGGCTGCAGGGAGAACTGATATCCAAAGTGAGTCTTGCAAGATGAGCTGGAGTCAGAAGTGGACAAGGTTTGGAACGGAACTGCCAGTAGGAGGGCTGGTAGAAGCAAAGGAAGGGAGATCCGGGGAAGCAGAATGTGTCTGAGGAGCAAGAAGTTCCAGTGTGTGCTGGTCCCAAGGACAGGAAAGAAAAGAGTGAGATGGGCTTGGAGGGAGAGGAAGGGAGGGTCTTGATGGGATAGCCATGAACGGATCTTGGATTGATCCTGGGGACAAGAAAAACCATGAGGGTTTGTTATGAATTGAAAAATGTAACCTCCAAAAAGATATGCTCAATCCCTCACCCTTGGTCCCTGTAAATGTGACCTTATTTGGAAATAGGGTCTTTGCAAATGTAATCAAGTTAGAATGAAGTCAGTGGATTAGGGCGGGCTTTAATCCAATGACTGGTGTCCTCATAAGAAGAGGAAATTTGGACACAGACACACAGAGAATGCCGTGTGATGATGGAGGTAGAGGTTAAAACTGGGAATGCCCAGGATTGCTAGCAACCACCAGAAACTGGAAGAGATAAGGAAGGACCCTCCTCCCCTCGAGTCTTCACAGAGATGAAGCCCTGTCCACACTCTGGAGGCAAGAAGACTGGGTAGGGTGCTGTTGGAACACCACAGGCAAGAGTTTTCAGGAGCCTCAAATAAGGCTCACCCTCTCCTCTGTTTTAAGCATTGCACTTTTTTTTTTTCTTTTCCCGATATGGAGTTTTCTTGCCCAGGCTGGAGTGCAATGGCGCACGATCTCAGCTCACCGCAAGCTCCGCCTCCGGGGTTCAAGTGATTCTCCCGCCTCAGCCTCCCGAGTAGCTGGGATTACAGGCATGTGCCACCACACCTGGCTAATTTTGTACTTTTAGTAGAGATGGGGTTTCTCCATGTTGGTCAGGCTGGTCTTCTCCTGACCTCAGGTGATCCACCCGCCTCGGCCTCCCAGCTTTGCACTTTTAAATGAGCAGAGTGTTTAGAAACTGAACAGGGGTCTTGTCTGGTTACCCATTCCACTCATTCAACAAATGCTGAGGGCCTCCGTGGAGCTGAGGCAGATAAGACAAATGCCAATCCTGAAGAAGGCCCCCAGCTTCCTCCTCTGACCTATCTGTCTCAGCCTGCTTGGACAGCCATAAACTTAGCAGCAGATTTTATTTTCTCATAGTTCTGGAGGCTGGATGTCCAAGATCAAGGCTCTGGCTGGTGAGGGCTCTCTTGCTGGCTTGTAGACAGCCACCTTCTCACTGTGTCCTCATGTAGCCTTTCCTTGGTGTGCATGCAGGAGTGTGGAGAGGTGGACTAGGGAGCAAGTTCTCTAGAGTTTCTTCTTATAAGGACACTAATCCTATGAGATCAGGGTCCCACCCTTCTGACCTTGTCTAATCTAACTACCTCCTTACAGGCCCTATCACTAAATACAGCTGCACTGGAGGTTGAGGCTTCAACATGAATTTTGGGGGGACATAATTCAGTCCTTAGCAGCATCTGAGCCACAAACACCTGTGGAATGCCAAGAGAGTGGTGACCTGGTCCTCCCTGTTCCCACTTCCCATAGCAGATAACTGTCGACGAGGAGGGTGACTGAGGCAAAAGTACCCCTTCTCCTTTGCATTGCAGTAGAGGACACATGTATCCTTAGCCTAATGCATCCTCCAGTCTGCACAACCCAGAAGGGTGGCCCCAGTCATACAAACTTGGCAACACTCAAACAACCCACCAACCTCAAGGTATCATGGTAGTATAGCCATAAGTCCTTGAGATCAGGAGTTCTGCTGCCAAGGCTACATTCTGCCACTTCCTGGCCCTTTGAGATAATCCCTCTCCACCTCTCAGAGCCTCAGTTTCCCTTTATGTAAAACAGGATGATTAACAATCATAGCTACTGTTTCTAAGTACCTACTAAGGGCTTAGTATCTGTTGTCAGCTGAAAAATGGCCTTCCAAAAGATATTCATGCCTAATTCCTGAAACCTGTGAATGTTACCTCCTGTGGCCAAGAAAAAGGAAGTGGCAGGGGGCTGTAGGGGGTAGAGGTTTGCTTATGTGATTAAATGAAGGACCTAGAGATCAGGAGATTATCCTAGATCACCCAGGTGGGCCCTAAATACGATCACGTGTATCCTTATACGAGGCAGGCAGAGAGAGATCTGGTGCCCGCAGAGAGAGAGATCTGGTGCCCTCACAGAGGACGAGGCCAGGCAGATGGCAGCAGAGGTCAGAGCTTTGTGTCCACAAGCCAAGGAACTTGGACAGTCATCAGAAACAGGAAAGGATCTCCCCTAGAGCCTCTAGAGGGAGCACAACCCTGGCGACACCCTTTTTTTTTCAGCCCATTGAGACCAGTTTGGGACTTCTGGCCTCCAGAAATGTGAGGGAATAAATTTCTGTCATTTTAAGTCACTTGGTGAATGGTACTTTGTTATGGCAGCCCAAGGAAAGAAACACACACCCATTATCTCGATAAATCCTCAGAGTCACCCATGAGGCAATAAGATAGTCATGCCTTACCAGGTGCCAGGTAGTGTTCATTCAATATTCACAACAGCACTAGGAGGCAGATACTGTCAACATCCCATTTTACAGATTAAGAATTGCCACCCAGAGAAGTGATGTAGCTTGCCTAAGGTCACACAGCGGGCACCTGTGCCAGGCTTTGAATGAAGGGTCTGGCTCCAAGTTGCTGCCTTAGGCCACCTTGAGGCGAGCTCTTTGCACCAGAATGGATGCTCTGTTTCCTGAGCCAGTCACGCAGCCTTGAGCAATGGCTTACCATGCTCCCTCTGCACTACCCTAAGTGGCTTATTCTGGGATCCTATGAGGATCAGATGGGACAGAGGGCATGAAAAGCATTTTGTAAACTGTAAAGTGCAGTGCACGGAGAAGGCATAAGAATTCAAAGTGGAAGCAAACCTGCTTACCTAGCTGGCCATGGCAAGGCTACCCTGGTCATCACTGAGATAGGTGGGGACACCAGCAGCAGGAGCCGCCCCCTATCCCTTGAGCACACACAGGAAAGTTTCTAAGCCTCGAAGTGCCCGTGGGTGAACTCACAGATGTTACCACCCAGAACCACAATGCTGACCTCACAGCATGATCACTAGATGTCACGTGAGTTCTTCAAGCCTGAATCCAGCCTTGTACCAGCTCATCAGCACCTCCTCCCGACCTGCCCTTCTCCGTGGCTTTCAAATTCAGAACCAGTTCCTCCCAGAATCACATAATTTCTTTAGCTGTAATGACTCCTTCATTCCACAGAGAAGGAGACAGGCAGGAACATTTAGTGACCCATCGAAGACCACACAGCTAGTATATTCTATCGAAAGCATCCTTCGTGTCCCAGCTGTGGGTCTCGGTATTCCCAGCTCCCCATTCATCTCAGGCAGCTAGAAATTCTTTCTGGTTGGGAGAATCCTAAAAAGGGGAAACTGGCATATGGGCACATTAGATTTCATTTCATGGCCTGGAGCCAGCCTGCTCCTTCTTTTTTTTTAATCCAATTATTATCACACAGAAACCTGTTTAGGAAGAAAAGTCCTGACTCGGTGCAATATTGTCCCCAGTATGTTGGTAGGGACTTTACTTCAGTGGATCTGTCAGAGCCCCAGATGCCAAGTCTATCTAAACATTCTATCATCAGTTCATCATTTTTGCATCCATCCATCCCTCATTCACTGAGCTTCCTGAGCTCCTGTGTGTCGGGTACCGTGCTAGACACTGGGATATAAAGAATATCCCCAAAGAACCCTCAGATTTACAGGGAGAGAGGCAAGAAAATAAATAATAGCAGCATTTCTGAAACTCACATATTAGCTTTTCTTGCTTATGATTTTTGTCATTTTCTTGTTATAGTTTACTCTTCATATTTACTTAGTATTTTCTTTGAATTAACTCTTTTTTTTGTCTTACTTAAATGCTAGCTTTGGGTTCACCCTAAGCAATAATATCCATGAATTCATGGATTTAATTGGCTAGTTTTTTCTGACTACATGTTGTACTAAAAAGTTTAACTATTAAAGAAAGAATTCCTGGGATGCCACCTAAAACCATCCTGCGTCTCAGAGGTATGTGAGGCTTCCAGTGAGAAACACTACATTATTGCTAAGGAGGCCCCTACGTGTTAGAATAGAGTCTGCCAGCTGCCACTCCAAGAGGACAATGCTTTTATCCTATCAAGTGCTGGCTGGTGAAGACACATTAGGATTAATGGTTTGATAAACAACATCTCAAGGCAGGACATTCTATGGCAGGAAGCAGATAAGTCTGTGCCTTTCACTCAAGGATCTCAGAAACATTAACTTCTCAGTTTTCATGCCCTCTAAGTGGGAGACAAGGCTATTCTCATGCCTCATTTCCTAGCTACAGGAAAAGGTGTTCTGTGATGTAAGACTGCATTTTTTTTTTTGAGACAGAATCTCACCCTGTCACCAGGCTGGAGTGCAGAGGCACGATCTTGGCTCACCACAACCTCCGACTTCCGAGTTCAAGCAATTCTCCTGCCTAAGCCTCCCAAGTAGCTGGGATCACAGGCACACGCCACCATGTCCAGCTAATTTTTGTATTTTTTTTTTAGTAGAGATGGAGTTTCACCATGTTAGCCAGGCTGGTCTCGAACTCCTGACCTTGTGATCCACACACCTTGGCCTCCCAAAGTGCTGGGATTACAGATGTGAGCCACCGCACCCGGCCAAGACTGCATTTTTTTAATCTCCTGTTTCCATCACAACACAATGACGGATGATATTCCCATGGGAGCCAGTATCAGGGTTTACGCTGAGTGAAGCGGAATCCCTAGGACTTGCATTTAACTGCAGCGTCACCGAAGAAAGTGCGTCAAAATGCAAGCAAAAGAGGATGACATTATTTTGAAGACAACCTTCAACATACCTTAATTTGTTTCTTAATAAGAAAGCAACACACAAACTCCAGGACTTTTACTATCAATAATAAAAACTGATTTGTAACACTTTGCTCCAAATAAATGAATATACCATTGTATTGGGTACTTCTCATTTCCTTTATTAATTTATTCCATAAATATTTATTGAGCACCTCTTACGTGCCCAGCTTGCCTTAGGCACTGGGGTTAGAACGATGGCTCAAGACAGACATAGTCCCTACCTTCATACTACTAGTGAGGAAGGCTGACATTAATCAAATAATCATCCAAATGAATGTAAAATGTAATGTAAATCCAAATGAATGTAAAATGTGATGTGTGGCCACAGAGGATTGATAGGAATGGTGAATGATGGATTTAAAATATGAAGCAACCAGCCGGGCATGGTGGCTCACGCCTGTAATCTCAGCACTTTGGGAGGCCGAGGTGGGTGGATCACTTGAGGTCAGGAGTTTGAGACCAGCCTGGACAACATGGCAAAAACCCATCTCTACTAAAAATACACAAATTAGCCGGGCATGATGGTACACGCCTGCAGTCCCAGCTACTCAGGAGGCTGAGGCAGGACAATCACTTGAACCTGGGAGGCGGAGGTTGCAGTGAGCCGAGATGGCGCCACTGCACTCCAGCCTGGGCAACAGCGTGAGATTCTGTCTCGAAAAACAAAAACAAACAAACAAATCTATGAAGCAACCATACAAGAGACATCACTAGTCACCCCTCATTAAGTTTCTTCCACAAACCAGATTGTCTCATTTAATCTTCGCTGCAACTCTCCGAAGCGGGCATTATTATTCCCACTTTACAAGAGAGGAAACCTTGGCTCTGAGCAGTGTAATGACTTACCCAGGGGCACTCAGCTGGCTAGTTGCAGAGCTGGGAATCAAACCCAAGCTGTGCTTTTCTCCCAAATGCCCAGTCTCCCCAGGGGATGCATGAATAGGAAAAACAGGACCTTACGTACTTTGCAGGTTACTACCGTGATGTCCTTGCTAGCGACTCCTCCACGCTTTAGTACCATCAAGGGTCCAGGTTGGGCAAGTACTCGAACCTCCATTCTGCCCTGGGATAACCTGGGCAGAAAAGCCAAACACAGCAGGGGAGCAGGAACAAAGCGCTCCCTTTTATGGTGAGGCGGTGCAAACCTCTGCATCTGCCTCCAGGCCTTGCCAAGGCCCACAGAGAAATGGCCTGCCCTAAAGATTGCAGTGAGCTGAGATTGCGCCACTGCACTCCAGCCTGGGTGACAGAGTGAGATTCTGTCTCAAAAAAAAAAAGAGAGAGAAAAAAAGAGAAAAAAAACAGAAATGGCCTGCCCTGACTGAGCCCGAAGCCTTCTGCCCTGATCTCTGCTTTTCTTTGTGTACCTGTCTGGTTACAAAGGAAGCAGCTGCCAGCTCACTGGTGTGGGACGCCATGTCTGGTCTGTGCTTTGCTGAACTGTGCTGGAATTTCACGGGCTGAAGCTGGCCCTGGGGGGTGCCGGGAGGTGAATGAGAGAAGTGTCTCAGGAGTGTTGTTCTGGGGGCTAAAATTACAGGTGATCGGACAACTGCTGTAGGAGATGGAGACAGAGCAGCACCTGAGTTGACTCTAAAACCAGAGGGCCTCTGTGCAGTGCGCTGTTGGCCGCTCTGGTTTCCTTTTCGCATCTCTGCAGCCCTTGGTATTTTCTACCTGTGTTATCAGAGAATCTCTGGCTGAGGACCCTGGAAATTTCTGCCCCCATCTCCACCCTTGGAAGCCTTTCCACAAAGAGCTTTGTAATTCACCAGGTGCCTTGCATATGGGAGGGATTACACCTTGACCTCAAATATTTGCTGTTTTCGTCACTGGCTCAGAGCCTGGGCACTGAAATAACACTGCATGGTTGGAATCCTGGCTCCCTGACTTACCAGCTGCATGACCTTGGACAATCTACTGAACTTCCTGTGCCTTAGTTTCTTTATCCTTAAAATGGAGGTAATAATAATATTAACCACAATGTAGGCTTGTTATTATAAGGATTAAATGATTTCATGTAGGTAAGGCACTTAGCAGTACCCAGCGTAATAAGCACTTAATGAGAGCAACTTGGTATTATTGCCTGCCTGCCTGCCTGCCTTCCTTGCTTCCTTCCTTCCTTCCTTCCTTTCCTTCCTTCCTTCCTTCCTTCCTTCCTTCCTTCCTTCCTTCCCTCCTTCCTTCCTCTCTCTCACCCCCTTCTTTCTTTCTTTCTCTCTCTCTTTTTTCTTTCTTTCCCCTCCCTCCCTCCCTCCCTTCCTCCCTCCCTCCCTTCCATCCTCCCTTCCTCCCTTCTTCCTTCTCTGCATCCCTCCTTTCAATAAACAAATCCTTTTAAATTGTATAAAGCCCTGGAACTACCAAGACCTGCAAGGCTCAATAGCTCGTAGTCTTGTCCAAGGTTCCACAGACAGAAAATGGACTCACTGGGAAGTGCCATCTTTTAGGAATTCACTCTTATCTGACTCCTCCATCATCCTCCCTCTCACCCTCATGGTGCCTAGCATAGTACCTTATAGAACAAGTACATCCTCAATAAATCCCTGAGAGCCTGAATAGATGATGGTGGTTAAGGACACAAAGCTTAGGGAGCAAGGCTATGTGGGTTTAAATCCTGACTCTATCACCAATAGGCTACATGGCCTTGGACGAGTTACCTAACCTCTCTGGGTTTCAGTTTTCCCCACCTATAAATTGGCATTACGATAATGCACTTACCCCACAGGGCTGGGCTCAGGCTTAAAGGAATTAATAATAAAATGTTTATATCAGTGCTTGGCACATAGTAGGTGTTACTTAGGTGTTTGCTATTATTATTATATTAGCAAACACCTAAGGAGGTGTTACTTAGGTGTTTGCTAATATTATTATTATTATTAATATTATTATTATTATTGTTGTTGTTGTTGATTGGCTGAGCTAGGGCTGAGACACAATTGCTATTTGAGAGTCTCCCAGTTCATTTTCTGATACTTTTCTCCTCCAGGACTGCCTTAGGATTCTTGGGCACAGAGAATTGGATTACTGAGTAGATTTACAGCAGACTATGCTTCTCCTCCTCCTTTTTCATTCTCTTACAAAACAGTTTTCTTTTTTAAACAGAACAGACAAGCAATGTCAAAGATTTCTTATTTCGCAATGAAGTTTTCCTTCCATGTGTTCTCCTCTTTCTATCTTCTCAGAAGGTTGTTTTTTCCCCTTCAGAACTTTTTTTCTGAAGGAAAATTCCATAGTAAGAAGGAAACAAAATAAGTTTCAGGCTCTGTAATTTTTTTTTTTTTTTGACAAAGTTTCACCTTGTCGCCCAGGCTGGAGTGCAATGGCATGATCTCGGCTCACTGCAAACTCTGCCTCCTGGTTTCAAGCGATTCTCTTGCCTCAGCCTCCCAAGTAGCTGGGATTACAGGCGGGTGCCACCACGCTCGGCTAATTTTGTATTTTTAATAGAGACGGGGTTTTACCATGTTGGTCAGGCTGGTCTCAAACTCATGACCTCAGGTGATCCACCCACCTTGGCCTCCCAAAGTCCTGGGATTACAGGCGTGTGCCACCACGCCCAGCTAATTTTGTATTTTTAGTAGACATGGGGCTTCACCATGATGACCAGGCTGGTCTCAAACTCCTGATCTCAGGTAATCCACCCACCTTGGCCTCCCAAGGTGTTGGGATTACAGGTAAGATCTACCACGCCTGGCCAGGCCTTGTAATTCTTTTTTTTTTTTTTTTTTTTGAGACAGAGTCTCGTACTGTCTCCTGGGCTGGAGTGCAATGGCATGATCTCAGCTCACTGCAACCTCCACCTCCTAGGTTCAAGTGATTCTTCCACCTCAGTTTCCCGAGTAGCTGGGACCACAGGCGCACACCACCACAGCCGGCTAATTTTTTGTATTTTTAGTAGAGATGGGGTTGCACCATGTTAGCCAGGATGGCCTCCATCTCCTGACCTCATGATCCGCCCGCGTCAGCCTCCTAAAGTGCTGGGATTACAGGCGTGAGCCACCGTGCCCAGCCCAGGCCTTGTAATTGTAGCAGAGGATTTGGCTTCCCTCAGCCTATGGATCTGCGCCCTGAAGGATGAACAGGAATTAGTGAAGCAATTCTCTATTGAGAAGGAGCAATTCTCTATTGAGAAGCAACTCTCTATTGAGAGGAGTTAGTTAAGCACTTCTCATTGAAGCTTCCCAGAGAGTAGTGAGACCAGAACCTGTTATTCCCATTAAACGGTATGGGAATTGAAGATCTGGGGAAGCCAGGTACTTAATCTTAGTCCACAGCAGAGAACTAAGCTCAATGACCCCCTTCTTATCTTTACTTAGCTTCTCGGACAGTCACTAAGACCGGGTTTCTCCTGTGCTTCCTCTCTTGATGCAGGTTTATATTGCCTGGATGCCTGACTTGGAAGTTCATGGTACAGTTCAGGGCCTTGAAACAGGTGAGTATGACAAATAACAGACCTGTGGCCTCAGTTGGAGAGACAATACAGAAGGCTGTCCACTGGGACGGGTTGGAGTACACTTGCTTCATCTAACCTGGACAGCATCTTCTAAGCCCCTGCTAAGTAATTCCTTGCAATGTGGGCCCGGAGCTTCTGGTTTTTCAGGAGAAGCTGGAAACTGGAATTACTGAAAATCTGAATTTTTCTGAAAGTTTGTGAATTACATTTTAAAATGCGGCATGAACCAAACACAAGGCATCTGTGGGCCAAATCCAGCCTTGAGATTGCTAGTTTTTACATGGTTTTTAATCTTCGGATTTAAGGGGGCTTAGAGGATGTCTTGTCCACTGTTCTTTACCATGCTGGAATCCCCTGTGCGCCGTCTCTGAAATACAGTTGTTCAGCCTCCAACTGAAATACCCCTGCTCTCTCCTGCTAGGAGTTTGAAATTCACCAGAACTCACAGTTTTACTTGCTCTTTATCATTATAAACCCCTAATCTACCACCTGGCAGCTTTTACCCTTTGGTCCTAGTGTCTTTTGGGGGAAACTAAACAAACCAATCTCATCTTTGGCACAAACCAATCTCATCTTTGGCATGAATTCTGCAGCCAAACTGCCTGGATTCGACTCCCAGCAATACTATAACTGTGTCGTGGTAGGCATGTGACTTGAACTATCTGTGCCTCAGTTTCCTTACCTGTAAAAAGGGGATGATAATGGTATTTACCTTACAAAGTTGGATGAGGTTTAAGTGAGCTAATATATTCAAAAGTCCTTGGAAAGGCAATATAAGTGTTTGTTATTTTTTCCTCTTTCTCAGGTTAAACTTTGCAAGTGCTTCCAACTATCTCCAGACCCTGTGTTTTCTGGGGCTTTTGTCATTCTCTCTACTCTGTTTGGAGGGTGAGCCAACGTGGCTCCCTTGATCCCTGACTCTTGGTATTCACAGCCTTGCCTAATTCCTCCACCTTGAGTGATGGTGGGGCTTGTGATATGCCTTTAACCAATAGAACATGGCGCAGGTGACAGGGCATATGCGATTATATGAATATGAACAATCATGTTACATGAGGCTGGAATGCCCATCTTGGGAGGAGGCACTTTTTCCTGCTGGCTTTGAAGAAGCAGGTTGCCGCATGGTGAGCTGCCTGTGGAGATAATCACATGGCAAGAAAATGAGGGTGAATTCCAGCTCACAGCCAGGTAGAAACTGAGGAACCAAATGTTGCCATCAATCAAGTGAGTGAGGAAGTAGGTGCTTCCTCAGTCAAGTTCCAGATGAAACTGCAGCCCTGGCTGACATCTTAGTTTCAGCCTTGCAGAGGAGCCAGCTAAGCCATGTCCAGACTCTTGTCTCACAGAAATCATGAGATAATAAATATGTGTTATGGTAAGCTGCAGAGTGTATGGCAACATTGTCATGCAGCAATACATAGGTAACTAACAACAATGGTAACTCTCCCTCACCTACCTTACTTTGGAAGTTCTCTACTTATGTCAGTGTCCTATTTAAAACAGAAGTTCTGGAAGAGAACAGCATATCGCAGCAGGCATTATTTGCACACTGCATGAGCTGTGGCCATAAAATAATGTTGCTGATTTTCTAATGGGCACGAGAGAACAAATGCATGCAAATGCTCCTGTTTATACCAGGGCAGGGCTTGAGCCCCAACTGTGCACAAAGCACTGGGCTGGATCTTCTGAGACAGAGGAGCCTTCTCTCCCCTTCCTGCCTCCAGGTATGATCACTTGGTACAAGTGATGGTGGCAGCTGATCTGTTTTCCTTCCTAATTCTCTTCCCTCTTTTGTTACTTTTCTTTATTGAAGAGGAGGCAGAGGAAGAAAAAAAAAAAGGACAAAAAAAAACCAGGTGAATGCATATAGTCTGTTACAGCTGGAGGGGATGAGAGGGGTCAGTCGGTGCAGCTCTGGGGTCAGTCGGTGCAGCTCTTGTTGTGGAGGGTTATACAGAGACTCCATGGCTCCTAAGTGATAGAGCCAGAGTTAGAACGTCTTTGACACTTGGCCCAGGGCTCTTTCCTTCAATTACAACTTGCCATTTTTTTCCTTGTGAGTACTAGGAAGTTGACACCATGCTTCCGGGTAGAGTCTTGGGTGTTACATGTTGTCAGAGGGTCCCTCGTACTTTCTTTTTGTTCTTGGCCAAAGGGATCCCCTTCTCTGAACCTCAGTCTCCTTCTCTGTAAGATGGAGTCCTGGGGGGCTGATGGAATAACACATGCTGGCTCCCAGCAAGTGGGAGAGAAGCACTTGGCTTGCTCCCATTAGTGTGTTCTTCTGCAAGGATTTCAAATGCTCGTGCATCCCACTGTGCATTCAAGTGTTGGGAAAACATTTATTGTGCCTGACATTTTCCCAGAGAGTGTTTTCTCAGATTAAAAGAAAGTAGTCAAACTTTCCCCTTCTCTGATTACCTTAACTGAAGGAGACCCTATATGCTCCACATCCCACAAGTTACTCTGTCTTATCATCTTCATTGCACTCATGGCCCGCTGAGATGGTTTATCCATCTGTTTCTGTGTCCACCAGGCCAACGCAAGCTCTCTCAGCTCTCAGAACAGGACTGTGTCTGTCTTGCTTCCTGCTCTGTCTCTGTACCCAGAACAGGGTCAGGCCTGGTGTAGGGGCTCAGTAAATAAAGCCTGAATGAATGACAGAACCTGTCTTGCTTTTGCCTATGAGACTTGGCCTGAGAAGAAGGAGAAATCCAAGGAATTCAAACCACTTCAAAGAAGAAGAAGAAGAAGAAGAAGAAAAAAAAAATACAGCATTCTAGCAAGATACAATCCCATTTACTTACTGCACACTTTCCACATCCCAAGCAGTGCTTGGCCCTTAGGGCTCCCATTTAATTGGGATATCTCATTTAATTTTCATATTTGCCGTATGAGGTGGGTGCTGTTAGTGCCCTTGTTTGTAGCCGAGGAAGCTGAGTTCCAGAGAAGCAAAATCTTTTGCATAAGAGCACACAGTGAGGTACAGTTAGGGTTTGGAATGCAGGCCTGTGTGCCTCCAGGGCTGAACTGCTCCACACTACAAAAGTTGATGGTGTCTTTATTTCTAGGAAGTACATATTGAAATATTCAGGGGACCAGGAGCATCATGTCTGCAACTTATTCTTTTTTTTTTTTTGAGACAGAGTCTCACTCTGTCACCCAGGCTGGAGTGCTCACTGCAAGCTCCACCTCCCGGGTTCACACCATTCTCCTGCCCCAGCCTCCCAAGTAGCTGGGACTACAGGTGCCCGCCACCACGCCCGGCAAATTTTTTGTATTTTTCATAGAGATGGGGTTTCACCATGTTAGCCAGGATGGTCTCGATCTCCTGACCTTGTGATCCACCCACCTCAGCCTCCCAAAGTGCTGGGATTACAGGCGTGAGCCACCACGCCCGGCCCTGCAACTTATTCTTAAACAACCTAAAGGAGGGGGGATTTAATAATATGTTAACATTTGGGGAATCTGGGTAAAAGGTATCTGGTAATTCTCTGAACTATTCCTGCAGCTTTTCTGTTAAGTGAATTATGTCAAAATAAAACATTTTCAAAAGCTCATGGTGGGAAGAAGATGAGACTCATGTCATGGGATGAAGGGCACAGGTCCTGCTTGGCTACAATAAAGAGGGGGAATGGGAGGCTGGGGCAGACTCTGGGGGCTGGAAGGACCAGGTTTCATCAGGGAGGCAGTGTTCAACACGGATAGGACCAGTGATGATACTCTGTCTTTAACCAAGTCTACCCATACTTCAGCATCCCGAATGTGCCAACTTCTTTTTTTTCCTTTCTTTTCTTTTCTTTTTTTTTTTTTTTTCCTCACTCTGTTACCCAGGCTAGAGTGCAGTGATGCAATCTCGGCTCACTGCAGCCTCCATCTCCTGGGCTCAAGTGATTGTCCTGTATCAGCCTCCCAAGTAGCTGAGATTACAGGTGCGTGCCACCACACCCGGCTAATTTTTGTATTTTTAGTAGAGATAGGATTTCACCATGTTGGCCAGGCTGGTCTCAAATTCCTGACCTCAAGTGATCCTCTTGCTTCAACCTCCCAAAGTGCTGGGATTACAGGCGTGAGCCACCGCACCCAACCCTTTCTACTGTTTTCTAGAGTAGCTGTCTGTGGGGGAAGGTTATATATATCCATCCTAAAATATATGCTTTCAGATCAGACAGACCTCAGTGACATCGCTTCCTATTGGTGCCCTTGAGCAAGTGATTTAACCTCCCTGAGCTTAAGTCTTCTCATCTGGAAAATGAGGATGATGATGTCTACCTCACTGGGTTGTTGTGAAGATTCACTATTTCAAAAAAATATTTACTGAGCCTTGATCTGGGATACCGGGGACAGAGCAGTGAATAAGACAGGCATCTTGCACTGTTTTCTTTGTGCAGCTAGAAACACTAATTGTTTAGAATTAAAGGACAATTAATAAACATTTTAATAAGTTTTTTTCAGATACTGATAAGCCCAGAAAAGAAAAATCCATGTGAAAAATGAGACCCTGGGAGGCTCCAGTGACTGGGGATGGCTGTGCTCCTCCGCTGCGGCACACCTCCCCGAGAAGGTAATATCTGAGCTGGAAGCTGCAGAATTAGAAGGATCTGACTGGCCATGGCAAGACCTGGGAGAGGCAGAGGGAGGGTCAGGGCAGTCCTGGAGCTGGGACTGAGTTTGGCTTGGTTAAAGGAGGAAAAGGAGGTCAGTGTAGTGTAAACACAAGTGAGAGTGGGAGAGACATGGACAGCCACAGCAGGGGCAATGCCACGCTGGGTCTAGAAGGCCAAGGCATTTAGACTTCAAGTGCATTAGGGATCCACCATAGAGTTTTGAGCAGAAGAGTAATATGATCTCGTTTTTTTTCTCTTGAAATCGGATAATCCAGTCAGCCCTCTGTATCTGTGGATTCCACATCGGGATTCAACCAACCGTGGATGGAAAACATTTGGAAAAAACAAACAATAAAAAATAACAATACGACTATATTAAAAAAAACATGAATTTGGCTGGGCGTGGTGGTTCACGCCTATAATCCCAGCACTTTTAGAGGCCAAGATGGACGAATCACGAGGTCAGGAGTTCGAGACCAGACTGGCCAACATGATGAAACCCCATCTCTACTAAAAATACAAAAAATTAGCTGGGCATGGTGGTGTACCCCTGTAATCCTAGCTACTCAGGAGGCTGAGGCAGGAGAATCGCTTGAACTCAGAAGGCGGAGGTTGCAGTGAGCAGAGA
This sequence comes from Homo sapiens, assembly GCF_000001405.40. Classification (NCBI taxonomy): domain Eukaryota; kingdom Metazoa; phylum Chordata; class Mammalia; order Primates; family Hominidae; genus Homo; species Homo sapiens. The sequence goes on from NC_000022.11 coordinate 32,788,494, forward strand.
TCGTGCCACTGCACTCCAGCCCAGGTAACAGCGCAAGACTCCATCTCAAAAAAAAAAATAATAATAATATGGATTTAAAAATACAGTATAACAACTACTTAGTATTTACATTGTATTAGATATTATAAGTAATCTAGAGATGATTTAAAGTATGTGGGAGGATATGTTTAGATTATGTGCAAATACTATACCATTTTATATCAAGGATTTGAGCACCTGTGAAAGTCCTGGAATCAATGTTATTAATACAGGACCTGAAACATGATAGATATTTAATAAAGAACAGCTTTATTATTGTTTATCATGACTTGGCATTGCCACTAGTCATTACGGACTTCTAGAAGGTGGGCGGCCTGTGCCTACCTTCATTCTAGAGGCATGCATCTTGGTGCACCCACCTGCCTGGGGAAAGGGGAGAGGAGTGGGAACAACTCGGGACACCTCTGACTTCCTTCCTCCTCCTTGCCACATGCTGCCCCCCCACCCCCAACAAGCCAGATGCCAGTCACCTCTGCCAGGCCAAGGGGCGGCCAGGGTAGGATTGCTGGGCCCCCCTCCAGCTGGCTCCGGCTCCAGGCCTCTGAGCCGCCTTCACTTTGCCTTAAAAATGCAAAGCATTCCAGCCATTTTAATTACTGGGCATTGCATAAGCCAGCAACCAGTTCATACAAAGGAGCAATAGACAAAAAAATGATTTTTCAACATGCCTTCAGCCTCTCCCCTTCTTTCCTCCTGAAATCAGCCCCCAATCACTGCCTCCCAGGCCTAGAAAAAGCACTCCAGGTATGCACAATCTCTTTTTGAGTTTGTTGATGTGACATCAAGGTCTTTTTTCTCTAAATACTTGAGGCAAAAAGCAGTTCCAGCCACCTTCAAGTGTTTTGGAAAGTTACCGATCATATTCCTACTTGACATGCTAAGACAATCAGAGGACTCCATATTATATACACTGAGAACTCTGATATAAAACAGAGTTCATTGTGCAGTGGGTCTGTCCAGGCACCAATTCAGGGCGCTTTCAGTTCTGGAATGACTTTACTATGGGGTACTCCTAAGAAATGAACCTCAAACACAATGTTCCAGCAATGCTTTTGTGTGGAGAATTATTAGTACTTAAATATTTATGTGATTGGGGAAGCTTCCATGTTTCCTAATTCTGATTTTTCAGTAGCCTCTAAACTGTTTTAACTAAATTTAATCCAAAAATTTGTTGAGGACCTACTGGGTATCAGTATTGGTTACGTTCTTGGAAGAGGAAATTCAATTAGCCCTGTCAATTAGCTCACTTTCTAAAGAGGGAAAGTTACACAGAAACTGACAATCCCAGTACAGGGTGATGAACTTCAAGTTAGGTCATCTCTGATGGGTGCTCCCAGCTTGGGTGGGAGGAAAGGCTACTTGTAGATTGTCTTAATAATATTGACAGTGACTATTCACTGATTGGCTGGCTCTGTGCCAGGAATTCTGCTAAACGCTTTCCACATATATCATCTTATTTATTCCTTGTAACTCTGTGAGGTAGGCGCTATTGTTGTCCCTGTATCACAGACGAGAATACGGAGGCACAAGAATGTTAAGTTACTTGTCGAAGGTCACACAGTTAAGAAAAGGCAGTAGTAAGCTGGTAAATATTTAACAAGTAGCTCTACAGTACAAAGAGCCCTCATTTGCAGTGTTTGCCAATTTCTGTGGTGTAAATACTTCCATCATAGCCAATTTTAAGTTACCAAGGTAATGTTCCTAAATGCAGTAGCACATCATTATATAATATTTCCACCATACAGAAACAACAGATGAAAGTTACCCTGAAAGCATAAATAAGAGTATACTGTAATAAACAATTAAGGAGTGAGGAGTTTCAAGTGTTCATTAATATAATTTATTAGTTATAACATTATATAATTAAATTAAACTTTATTTATTTATTTATTTATTTATTTATTTATTATTGAGACGGAGTCTCGCTTTGTTGCCCAGGATGGAGTGCAGTGGCATGATCTTGGCTCACTGCAACCTCCACCTCCTGGGTTCAAGCAATTCTTATGCCTCAGCCTCCCAAGTAGCTGGGACTACAGGCACGTGCTACCAAGCTTGGCTAATTTTTTGTATTTTTAGTAGAGACGGGGTTTCGCCATGTTGGCCAGGCTGGTCTCAAACTCCTGGCATCAAGTGATTCGCCTGCCTCGGCCTCTCAAAGTGATGGGATTACAGGTGTGAGCTACTGTGCCCAGCCAAAATTTTAAATAACGCCTATGTTTAATGACCGACCTGCAAATTCCCGAATGTATAACAATAGGCTCTGACAAGCCAGGGTGAGCCAGCTCCAGTGCAGCACTGGGGTCTCTAGAACCTTGCTCTTCACCATCGCAGACAAGTAATAGTAGCTACGAGAAAAGGTCAAGGGAACGGAATGAACAAAGACCTAAGATGTGACTACCGGAGAAAAGAAACACAATCACATTTAGTGTTCACAAAATCTTTTTAACTGATCACTAGAGTATTCAGAGATAGTGAGGAGTGCAGGATGGGACGCTGAACTTGGAAATCTCCACCACAGATTAACTGTGTAACCTTGGCTACATTACTAAACGTCTCTGTGCCCCAGTGTTCTTTTCCATAAAATGGGCATGATCATAACAGCCCCTACATCATAGAGTTGTGTGAATTACATACCTTTACACTTGTATATTACATAGAATAGGACCTGGCACATAGCAGCGCTCAGTAAATGTTAGTTACTTATTGTTTGATCTTTGCAGCTGCCTCTGTGAATTAGATGTTTGCCTTCGCTTTATAGGGATTCAATTTACGCTTAGAGAGCAATGCAGGAGGCTGGAGGAGATAGGACTCAAATGTTCTGATTCTAACTTCGGTGCTTACCTCAAGGGCTGGAAGGCATATTGACCTGGCTGAGTACTGTTCTCCAAGAGGGGCTGCCGACAAACTCAATGCCCTACTAAGTGTCACTTCTGATAGGGGCCATATCTAATTAATGGCTCCTCACCCTTGATTGGCGGGTACAGGCATTCTGGGAAGAAAGACCCATCTGGTTTCAGGAACTGGGCATCTGACCTTTGCATCCCTTCTTATTTTCCAAACGCTCGCCTTCTGCTTGAAGAGGCAGAGTGGTGGGGTAGTTAAGAGGATGGGCTCTGGCTTCCAATTCCAGCACGGCAGCATACTGGCGATGTAATCTTGAGTAAGTGACATAATCTCTGTGTACCTTAGTTTTCACTGCGGATGTGAAAAGGGATGGCAACGATGATCTCATCTACCTCATGGCTTTTGCTATAAGAACTGGTACAAATTAATATATGCAAACTGCCTAGAAGAATACCTGGTACCCAGTAGGCACTCTATAGGAATTAGTTATGACTATCAAATTTTTTTATTCTCTTTTGCCTCCTTTCTTCCATCCCTTCTTTGAGTATTAATTACAAGGTCAAAGGGGATATAAGCACATGCTCTTTCTTTATAAACACAGGTCACTAGACTATAGGCTACTTGAGGGCAGGGGCTGTTCTCATTCACCTTTATACCCCTGGGGCCACACCCTGGTATACACAGTCCTCAGTGAGAATTTACTATGTGCCAGGCACTGTGCCATGCATCTTATTCAGCTTACAGTGTTTGATCTTCATGAAAATCCTACGAGGTATGCATCTCTCCTCCCTTTTAGCACGAGACAGCTGAGGCTCAGAGAGAGGTTAAGGAACTTGTTCAAGGTCACAGTGAAAAAGCAAAGAAGGATAAAACTCAGACTTATGACATCACAGGCCTTCGTTGGTTCCTAACCTCCCTGTTGGGCTGCCTTCTAGAATATTCCATGGGAAATTTTGAGAGATCGTTAAATCCAACCCACTTGGTTTTACATTTAAAGAAAGGAGTCACTGATTTACTCAAGGTCACACAGCTATTTTATGTGGTAGGACTAGGATAATAACCTGGTATATTGCCTCAATCTCATGTTTGAAATTTCAGGAGGAAATGAAGCCAGGTTCATTAGCTGTTAAAATATACTGATGAGTATGCCACCAGCTTGCCTCTGGTTCTGGGCCCTATCTACGTAATACGAATGTAAATTTCCTATGGCATCTATCAAAATTTTGAGTAAGGAAGGGCACACCCGCACCCCTAGAAATTGCCTGCCAAGTCACTTCTCCTGCCTTCTCTCCATTGCAAACCAAATGAAACAGAGATGCATCTCACTTGCCTGCAGATAAAGCTCTCTCCCTGGTCGTCAGAGGTAGGTACTATGCTTTTCTCTGCTTGGCTGCATCAAGAGCTCTGAGCACTCAACGAGAACCCAAGAGACAAAGAGAAAATCACCAGTGCTGCAAATGCCCCAATGAACGTGTGGGCACATTGACTTTGAAGTCTTCAGGAAGAGTGCTGGTTTGGAAAGAGACCCCTGCATCTGAATCACAGCTCTGCCACTTCCTTGAGTGTAAGAAATTGAACATGCAATTTAACTTCTTTGAGCCTCCGTTTCCTTGACCATAAAATGGGCATAATACCATAGTACCTAGTACCTATTATTAAGGGTTGTGAGGATTAGTGGGACTACTGCATTGAAAGTGCCTTGTACATAGTAGGTATTCAACTAATGCCAAGTTCCCTTCTCTTTTACTCATCTTAGAAACATTTTTCAGCTTATCATTCCAAGGTTGACGAGTTGCAGAGCAGGGAGATGATTATTTATTGATTATCTCTCATGGGCCCAGCCTGAATTAGAGCAGCCTGGAGTGACGGGAAGATGATGAGGTACTAAGGAGTCTGATTCTTTGTTTGCTTCTGCCAATAATCTGGTGTCTACCTCTCTAGGCCTGTTTCTGTATCTGTAAAATGAGGGAGTTCAACTTGGTAACCCACAGCTCTCTCCTACTTCTGACCTTGTGTCTTACCATAATCTGAGTTCCTAAACAACTCCCTGCTGCCTGGTTGGATAGGTAGCTCTATGATCTCATGGCACACTTGACTATCCCACTGTAGTTCTTTCCACCAACTATTATTTTCTTGTGTTTTTCTCCCAGAAGACTGGGAGCTCCTTGGGAACAGTTCTATGCCTTGTTCACTGTTGTATCTTCAGGGCCTAGCATGGAGTAACAGACATTCTGCCAATGTTTGGTGAATATTTGAAGGAAGGAGGGAAGGAAGGAGAGGACCCTGCCCCTATCCTCCAAACACTTGATCATCACACTATGACACATAAGATGTGAGGCAAATGGAGAATGTCAGTGGAGAATTCATGATTAAGCACACACCCAGAACTTGGAAACAAGGTCATCTGTCTTACTGAAGCCATACATTCATGCACCATGCTTGTGCTTAGCCATCTGTGGTAATAAATCAAGACACAGCAAGGGCAGAGTTGAAAATCTGGGAATACCAGAGCCCAAACTAGTTGACCTGGGGGTAATCTTTGAATGGTGACTTGTATACTAAAATGTAGAAGCCAAATGAATTCCAATATTCCAAGTGCAAAGAAAGTGTTGGGGAAGAGAAGGATGGAGTGGCCAGCCTGGTGCTGAGAACCAAGAAGATCCAAGAGCCTGCAGTTGGCATTTGTGTGTCCAGCATTGTCCCTGTTCAGGAAGAGAGGCTTTGGCCAGTGGTTGTGAGCACTGGAATTTCCTCAGCAAAGCTTTTGCTTCCATGAAAAGGAGAATTCCAGGGTATCTCAGCTGAAAGACCCTTCCTATGATGCCCTCAATCCCTGTATTCTGAATCTACACACACCACAGCAACCTTCTGAGGAGAAACTAGCTTCATATTGAAGCTCTCTGTGACTATCAGGAGGAAAATATGGGGGTGGTGTTGACATGAGTCCTCTAGCCTATGTGACAATGAAATACCTCACGGGAAACAAGCCCAGTGGGATTTTGGTTGGTTTGCTGAGCTCTTAGGATCAGTCCGTGAGAATGATCAACTGAGGGAGCCTCATCTAGTTGAGTTTCTGGACCCAAGGAGCTGGATTCCAGAACCTCTGTTGGGGTGAATGTGTGACGGTGATACTCTGACTCCTCCTTTTCTCCACTCCATTCATTGGTTAGTTTATTCCTTTAATATTTGTTCAATGTCTACTATGTGCATATGATGTGTTAGGCAGTCACAGAAGCACCTGGATTTGCTCGATATCTAGAAGAGAACCAGGGATATCAACCACTAGGGGCAACAGAGTGTGCGAGGTGCCAAGCTGGAAGCCCGGAGGACCCAGTGTGGGTGGGAGGTGAGTGAGAGAAGAGGAGAGGCCTGAGAGGGGGTGGTCCATTCTGCTGGGGCAGAGAGAGGACCGGAAAATATTCACTAAGTGGTGACTCTAGCTGAATCCTGAAAGATGAATACGTGATTCCTGGCAGATGAGGTGGAGGAGGGTGGGGGAATATATTGGTGGCGGCTAGATTCCAGGCCAAGAGTGCATTGTGAACAAGGCTCAGAGAAACCGATAGCTGGAATATAAAGGGTTGGAAGAGGGCAGCATGGGTTTAGAGAGATAAGCAAGAACAGAGCCTGCTGTTGTATAACTGCAGGGGCAGCCATCTCATTGTATTCTATGTGAAGAGGGCCTCCTCCAGCTGTGGACCGTGGGGCCCTGGGGATGAGCCAGATCACAGAGGGCCTTGTTTGTCTTTGGAGCTTAAGACTTTGTTCAGAAAGCCACGGAGCACAAGTGAATCATTTCAAGCAAAGAATAGCATGTTTTCAGATTTATATTTTAAAAAATGTACAGAAGCAGCAATGCAAAGTTGAAGTTGATAGAGAAAGACTCTGGGGAGTGTAACCAATTATGTCACTATTGAAATTGTCAGGAAAGAATCCACAGGGGCCTGATCCAAGGTAGAAATGGTAAGAATGAGAGGAAGGGATGGTTAGAAGAGATGTGGATCATGAGACTCTATAGGACCTGGTGAGTGATGATGTCATCCTTCGGAATGGGTAACCCCGGAGGGGACTGAGGGGAAAAGACAATGAGTTTTGGACACCTGGAGTCCGAGGAGGCCATAGGATCTCTAGGTGAAATTGGGCAGGAGGAAGTTGGAGATAGAAGACAGGCAATCAGAGGGACACTGTTGCTTGCAGTGTGCACTCCGGTGCACATAGCATGGTAGCGACCATGGGGGTGCGTGGGGTAGGCCTGGGAGAGTGTGGAGGCTAAAAGGGAAGGGGAGAGAGCCAAGGACAGAAAATTGGGAAACAGCTACATTTTAATTTCAGGAAGAACCTGAGGAGTCTGCCAAGAAGACTGAGAAGGTATAGATGGAGAGGTAGAAAGCAGAATCCCAGAGAGAGTAGGGTCTCAGCAGCCAAGTTTAAAGAAGGATGCGATCAATGGTGTTAACTGCTCTTTGGACTGTCCCCACAGCACAGGACAAGACCATATCAGTTCCAGCAGGTTCCACTGAAGAAAGCTCATGTGCCTTGCAGAAACAAGACCTCCAGCCCAGTCTAACAGGAGACCAACCACATGTCCATCCCATTCCCTCCCAAGGCATGACAGCACCTGGCTGAGATGCTTGTGTGTATTCTCTGTGTGAAGCTGAGCATGCAACCTTCAAAGAAACCACAAAGGAGCTACTCGTTTTTAAAGGAAAAACACATGAACTCCACGGGCATAAGGAAGACATTAAAACAGGGTTGGGGAGAAGTTCTTCTCCTTCCATTTCATAGTACCCTTCACAGAAATAATTGACTGCTTGAATATATGGTCATTGAAACATACATACACACACATACATGCACATGAAAACAAGAGCTGGAATATTTGACTCTGCTTTCCATTTCCCACCACCCTAGATAACACAGGATACAACATGGCTTTACTGCACACATGTGTTTTCTGGCTTAAAAACACTGAGAGTAGATCCCTGTGGAAAGAAATATGAAAACCTGAGGATTCATGCGAATGTAGCCAGAGGCGAATGTAGCCAGAGGGGTCTTCAATTTGCTGGCAGAGCTGGGGGAGAGCTGGGGCAATTTTACTGCCATGAAATTGGCTCCAGATGGAGGCAAGGAAAGGTGTTTACCCCCTGCTGGTGCCAGACACAGAGAGATCCTGCAGTACCTCGCATCTTAGGCTCAGAATTGCCCAGTGCTGGGCAGCAGCCCCACTGAGGGTCTGGCCAGAGCTCATGGGGATGGGTGGACCAGGCTGTCTGTTGCTTGGAAAAGGCCATTTTGAATATAATGACTTTCACATGGACGGTGGGGCTTGGGGGAAGGCATCGTGGCTAGGGTCTGGAGGGGAAGAGGGAGGAAAGCAAAGAGGAGCTTCCCTATGAGGCAACAGAAATGACAGTACCTTCTCCAGGTTGAATTTCCAAAACCCAGCTCTGCCCTGGAAGACTGGGACTGTGGCATCCTCTGCAGTGTTCCCAGACCGCCCTAAGGCCCCCAAACCAATGATTCACAACTATGTTGCTTCCCCAGAGAGCATCTCCCCCTTTGGTTGACATGTGGCCAGCTCAGGGGTGGAGGAGCTCCGGCAGCCACGAACCCAGACGGGATGTTGACTGAGAGCTTTGTGGCCATGGCAGATGGGAGGGGTGAGCTTCACCCACTCAAAGGCACCCGCACCCCACCGATGAGTGTGGAATTGTGCTCTCCCGCCCTCGCAGTGAGACGACCGACCAGGACTGCAGGCTGAGCAAATGGGTGTTCTCTGGCTTATAGCGCCCCCTAGCACCAGCCAGCGGGATAGAGCTCCGTGAACTCTCCAAGGAGCCACCACCTGCCTGTCTGAATGCTGGAAAGGGGTCGGTGGTGCTGATCATTGGACCCATTCAACCAATACTTATTAAACTCGTTGTTACCAACACTTAATCCCTGTGTTCTAGGGGCTTAGACTCCAGCAAGGGAAACAGATGGGTAAATAATCACATTAGAGTCAGCTAAGTATTGTCAAAGAAGTTGATACAGGGTGTTGTGGGGATACATGGGAGGGGAATCAGAGGAGGTTTCCCGGAGGAGGTGACATCTAAGCTGAGGTCTGAAGGATGTGGAAGAGTTCAGTAACTCCTGAAGACCAAAAAAATGGTGATAAAAAAGACACCTTCCTAACTTTTTAGTGCTACGATCCAAGAGACAAACAAGCAGGTGAACGCATAACTACACTGGGCTCCACCATAAGCCAGAGCCTGTCTCTCCTAGGACTTTGGCATCACAATCTTCTCTGAAATTCTGTTTTCGGCATTGATTCTTGGGGGAGGTAGCAATATAGGAACTCAGTGTTCGTTGCGAAACTGATGGATGGTCTTCAGTCTTGGGTACGTTCCCATGTGTCAAACCTGTTTAAATGGCAGGACCCATCTCCCCTTCAGAAGCATTCACTTGTCCTACAGGATTCCCCATGGAATCTTGGAGTTTTTGAGGCGAGAGGGATCCTGGATACCACTGAGTTCTATCTTTCATCCAATAAACACAGAAGTGGACGCCTGGACAGGCAAAGTGACTTGACCAAGGCAGGTGCACAGCTATTCTGCAACATTGGGAACAAATCTCAGGTCTTTTGATTTTTTGTTTCCACTTTACTCTCTTTTCATTTCCCAGAAACAAAGTTTTCATGTGCTTTTTTTTATAGTGATATGTTTGGAATGCATTAGCTAGTAATTTAGGAAGGGAAAAAAATAAACACACAAGAGATAAACCTGTCAGGAGGACAAACCTGTATTGCTTCTGATTGGCTCAGAGGGTGATTATTATCATGGTAGAGAATTATTTAATCAGTGTAAGTAAAATTTCTCTGTGGGCTGGGCACTGTACAAAGACTCAAACGAATCTGTCTACAGATCTGAAAAGCAGATACGAGATCTGTGAATGGCTGGGGTTTCCAAGCCCACAGTACAAGCATGGGCCACACCTTACAGCTTGGAGGACTGAGCCCTGAAAATGGGCAAGTTCCTTCACTTCTCTGAACCTTATTTTTCCCACATTTAAAACAAGGATGAGTAGTTTCTGAGGTCCTTTTTACGACTTCTCTTCCTACAGACTCTAGCATCCTATAACTTGATACAAAGAGGGTGGATATGAACTCACCTTTCCTAGAAAAGTTCCAGGAAAGAGAATACCAGGTCATCCTAGTAGGTGTGTAGACAGGCCAGATAGATCTTGAAACTTACTCAGTTCTTCCCAGATGTATAACTCTATCATTGTTCTTAGCTGTCAAGAGAAAGCAGGAGAGCCTGCATCTTCATTCTTTTTTTTTTTTTTTTTTTTTTTGGAGACGGAGTCTCACTCCATCACCTAGGCTAGAGTGCAGTGGCATGATCTCAGCTCACTGCAAGCTCCGCCTCCCAGGTTCACGCCATTCTCCTGCCTCAGCCTCCCAAGTAACTGGGACTACAGGCGCCCACCACCACACCTGGCTAATTTTTTGTGTTGTTAGTACAGACGGGGTTTCACCATGTTAGCCAGGATGGTCTCGATCTCCTGACCTCGTGATCCGCCCACCTTGGCCTCTCAAAGTGCTGGGATTACAGGCGTGAGCCACCGCACCCAGCCTGCATCTTCATTCTTACTGTTAGCCTCAGGTTCACCCCACCTAGCTTATTAAGTGATGTTGAATAACCAATTCTTACATATTATTAGGCTCATGGACACCATGACATCCAGACTGATGGGTGCCTGCTGAAGGGGGTGACCCTAGCAGGAGGACTCCCCTACGCAAGGATTCATGGAGTTTGCTGTTTCTTTTCCTTAGGGTGAGAACCAAACTGCCTTCACACGGTGGGCAGAGGGGAACTGACTCAGGTTTGGAATAAGAGAGAACATCCCAACTGAAAAGCTCTTGGAATTCGCTGAACTTCAAGACACTGTGTGGACCAGCTTAGGATAGGGAGTGAGAAGAAATTAACCAAAAGGTAATTTCGTTACTTTTCAGCTGGAAAAAAGATCAGATTATACTTGTGCTTTCATAATTAAGTAGCTGCTGGAAAAAAACGCTTCAGATGCTTTCTATGAGAAAACTGCTGCTTGAAGTTCAGCAGAAGTTATCTACTTGATACTTATATTCCAGGCAAGGCCTTCCGTTGGAGAAAATATCGGCACTTTGGACAAAACTGAAATGTGAAAAGAAAGGGAAGAGAGGGCCTCTATCATGTAAGATGCTTATCCAAAGTGGATTTGGTCTGGAAAGTCTTCTAAAACCTTCCACATGACTGTGGAATAAGTCATGTGGGGCGCGGGGATAAGCGAATCTCTCAAATTCCACCACGTATGCCCTCATTCAACCTGGATCCTTAGAGTGGCCTCCAGGGCACTCTGCTCAGGACTCAGTCAGCTGTTGGCCACACCCATGCTCTCCAGTCTCCTGAGACCCTATTTGGTTCTGAGAGGGCTAAAAAGCAGTGTGGCTAAATATCCCAGGCCTCAAAGTATTCCTACTGTGGTTGGGGAAGCAATAGAATCATACCCCATAAAACAATGAAAACAGTGCTAGAAAAACATCGAGAGACAGAAACATCTCTACGAGTTAGGCCACAGTTAGAGTGAAGGCAGGGAAGGTTTTTAAAGCTGGGTGGAGGGGACAAGTCAAAAAGATGTGGAAACTGGTTTCCCTTTCCTATGGCTAAAGTGCTCAAAGGGGAAAAAGGAGTTTCAAAAATGTTCTTGGAAATACCATCTCTCACGAATTCTTCGGCCTCTGCTGTCCCAATGTCACTTGTCTGAGATGTAAACAGAGGAGTTCTGAGAAAGAAGCTGAACTTGCATTTCTCCCTGTTTCTATTTGTTCCAAACTTGTGGCATTTCTAACAGGATGAAGCGGAAGAGAAAGGGAAAGAGACAAAAGTGTAGAAAGATGGAAGATCCCAGCTGCAAATGGCCATTTGCAGTTAGATGGAACAGCTGCTGACGTTCAGGGAAATGCATGTCTCTCTTCAGATGGGAAGGAGCAGTGGAAAGGGGTGACGAGTTCCTGGCTGGCCACCAATCATCCCATCTTTCTGTGCCGGTTCCTCATCTGGAAAGTGGGAGTGATACTTGT